>NC_000003.12:169917695-170069210 GCF_000001405.40 Homo sapiens
CAGTTGCACAATCTCGGCTCACTGCAAGCTCCGCCTCCCAGGTTCACACCATTCTCCTGCCTCAGCTTCCTGAGTAGCTGAGACTACAGGCGCCCGCCACCATACCTGACTAATTTTTTGTATTTTTAGGAGAGACATGGTTTCACCATGTTAGCTAGGCTGGTCTCGATCTCCTGACCTCATGATCCGCCCGCCTCGGCCTCCCAAAATGCTGGGATTACAGGCATGAGCCACTGCACCCGGCCTGTTTGTTTATTTTTGAGATGGAGTCTCTCTCTGTCACCCAGGCTGGGGTGCAGTGGCGCCATCTCAGCTCAACGCAACCTCCACTTCCCAGATTCAAGCAATTCTCCTGCCTCAGCCTCCCGAGTAGCTGGGATTACAGGCACGCGCCACCACACTTGGCTAATTTTTGTATTTTCAGTAGAGACAGGGTCTCACCATGTTGGCCAGGTTCGTCTTGAACTCCTGACCTCAAACGATCCGCCTGCCTCAGCCTCCCAAAGTGCTGGGATGACAGGCATGAGCCACCGCACCTGGCCCTACGATTAGTTATTTTTAAATGTACAATACATTATTGTTGACTGCAGTCATCTTGCTGTGCTATCAAATACTAGATCTTATTCATTCTATCTAATTATATTTTTGTACCCATTAACCATCCTCCCTTCCCCCTTCCACCCCACTACCCATCCCAGGTAACCATTGTTCTACTCTCTGTCTCAGAGTTCTCAGATATTTTAAAAGTGGGAGTTGAGAATGAAGAAGAAGCTAAAATGACCTGTTCAACTAGTACTTGTTTTTATATTTAAAATCATTCAAAGGATATTAAAGAACAAGAAAATGTCAGGAAAAATGTTATCCCTTTAACAGTAGTCCTTTTTTCTGATCACTAGTTTCTGAAGGTAAAGCATATGAATATTTGTATTTATGTAAACTTGGCTGTAATTTGATCACAGTTCTAATTAAATACAGTCTCGTGCAGTCTGTATCCCTTCTAATTAGATATACTTTTAGACATTAAAAATATTCTCCTCCCTCATTTTCTGGTGTTAAATCTTATCAACTAAATAGGAATATTTTTCCAAAGATTGAACGTATGGGAGAATTTATGCATTTGTACCTCTGGAAATGTAAGAATCAAAGTAAGTTGCAAGAAAGGAAGTTGGGGCCAGGCACGGTGGCTCACGCCTGTAATCCCAGCACTTTGGGAGGCTGAGGCGGGTGGATCACCTGCAGTCAGGAGTTCAAGGCCAGCCTGGCCAACATGGTGAGACCCTGTCTCTATTAAAAATACAAAATTAGCCGGGCGTGGTGGTGGGTGCCTGTAATCGCAGCTACTCTGGAGGCTGAGGCAGGAGAATGGCTTGAACCCGGGAGGCGGAGGTTGCAGTGAGCCAAGATTGCACCATTGCACTCCAGCCTGGGCAAAAATTGAAACTCCATCTCAAAAATCAACAACAACAACAAAAAAGAAAGGACGTTGGTATTTCTGGAATCTTGCAAGGCTGATTTAATTTTATTATTGCTTGTAGTTTGGTACCGTATTACCTGTGAACTCTGCAACAAATTCCAAGGGCATACTGATAAAACACTGAGTTCTACAATTATATCTGGGGTTTTTGTGTAACTAAAAGCTTGGTGTAGCTAGTCTTCCCAAGTGTTGTGAAAATACAAAAGGCTTTTATTGTGTTCAAGAAGAATTCAAATAGTTCACAAAAAGTAGAGTTATTTGTTAAAGTGTCTATCTGGTTCTTTTTAGAACTCCATTAGTGGCGAGAGATATTGAAGACAAACCCGGTGATGGCTGTGAACCCTTTATTGACACCAACAGGGCAGCAGACAATCCCACTGATCCCCTCACCATTTGGGCCTCCAACTGTGGACAGGTATTTCTCTTCAATATAATAGTTTGATCAAAGAACAACATGGACAATCATTACGTTTTGGAATGATGTTAAGTCTAGTGTTGTTTTATTGCCTAATATTATTTCAGTGAACTGTGGTGCAGTAATTCAAGTCAAGACACCCTGCTGGCCTCACCTTCAAGACATCTGCTGTCATTTCTCCTCTGAGACCTGCTTGACCTACTCACTCAGCAAATAATTAATGAGCACATACTATATGACAGGCATTGTGCAGGTGCAAACACTGGAGTAATAGTCTTCTAGGGCTGCCATAATAAAATACTGCAGACAGCCGGGCACAGTGGCTCACGCCTGTAATCCCAGCACTTTGGGAGGCCAAGGTGGGCAGATCACAATGTCAGGAGTTTGAGACCAGCCTGACCAAAATGGAGAAACCCCATCTCTACTAAAAATACAAAACATTAGCCAGACATGGTGGTGCAGGCCTGTAATCCCAGCTACTCGGGAGGCTGAGGCGGGAGAATCGCTTGAACCCAGGAGGTGGAGGTTGTGGTGAGCTGAGATCGTGCCCTTGCACTCCAGCCTGGGCAACAAGAGCGAAACTCCATCTCAGAAAAAATAAACAAATAAATAAAAATAATAAAATACTAAATACTGGATGGTTTAAACAACGGAACTTTATTTCATGGTTCTGGAGCTGGGAGTCCAAGATCAAGGTGCTGCAGGGTTGGTGTCTGGTGAGGTCTCTCTTTCTGGCTTACAGGCAGACACCTGCTCACTGTATCCTCACATAGCCCTTCCTAGTTTGCCTTTGCAGAAAGGGATCCCTGGTATCTCTTGTTCTTAAAAGGACACTAGTACTATCGGATTAGGGCCCCACCTTTATAATATCATTTAATCGAAATTACCTCCTTAAAGGCCCTATTCCAAGTACAGTCACATTAGCAGTTAAGGCTTCAACATGCTAATTTTTTGGTGGCGAGGCGAAACAAGTCCATAACAACTGGGTACCCTGGATTTCCCGTGAAGAAAGAATTATTTCTTTTCAATAAAAAGTAAATTATAAGTATTTGGGTTGCACACTCTGGAAATAACTTACCTTCCCTTGTTTTTTTGTTTTTTGTTGTTGTTGTTTAGAATATTTTGACCTTCAGGAGAGAAAGCAGAACTCATTATTTATCCTTGTTTATGGAGTGTGAACAGTAAAGTGGAACTTCTAGAGACCACTAAAGTTTAGAAAAATAAGTTGTCCACCCAGGTACTCAAACATTGATCCCAGATGGTAAACCCAACCAAAGTATGTCCATTAAATGAGAAAAGAATTTGTGGTCACAGTAGACTGTTGGTCATGAAAAATCAGAGAGCAGTGTTGATTTATTTAAATATTTTTTCTAGACATCCCTAAAACTTTCCTTTCCTGCTTTCTCATTTTGTTGTCAGCTGGGTCAATCCTTCGTTAGTGGAGTACTTCCCGATCTTTCCACCATATTTCTCCATAAATTCATAAAGACTCCAGGACTTTTGTATTTCATCTTGAGAAGAGATGATAGAATCCCATATGGCAATAACAAAATCTCATTGTCTCAGCCATGGAAATTGTGTACTCCAACCTCATTTTACCTATTTTATTTTATATCTTTTTGTTCTCAGAGATGTATTGCCTTCCACCGTAGCTCCAACTGACCCAAGACAGTTTTGCGTTCCTTCCCAATTTGGATCCTCTGTTCTACCAAACACAAATATGGCAAATGTGTTGTCCAGTCGGATCTACCCAGGTATGAGCAATAGAAGTTTGGCTCTCATCTGTGGAGTCATTTTGAACTGGATGGATGCATTAAGTTTGCCATCAAATTACTCCTAAATTTTGGAGGCAGATCTGTGTGGTGGTTGTCTCTGCAGTCTCTGTAGTCACCACCTAGGTTCAGATCATGGTGCTACCACTGTGTGACCAAGTGTAAGCTGCTTGACTCCTCTAAGTGTCAATTTATTCATGAATAACGTGAAGAACTGCAGTATTACTATTTGTCTTATCTTACACATGAGGAACTGATAAAGTTATGAGGAGATTAGATCTGAGAATTAATGGGGCTTAAGGCAGTTTACATGGGCCCGATGGTCATAGTGAGAATTTGGCTTTTATTCTGAGTAAAAAGGGAAGCCATCAAGGGGTTTGAGCAAAAGAGCAACATGGTCTGACTTAAATGTTACCAGAATAATTCTGGCTTCTGAGATGGGGACAAACCTGATGGGATCAAAGTTCTGGGAATAAACTGATGGGAATTAGCAGGCCATTAGAATAGCTAAAAGATTATGACAGCTTGGTCATGGATGGTGGCAGTAGGAATAATAAAGAGTGGCTAAATCCTGTAATTATTTTGATTGTAGAAACAACAGGATTTTCTCACAGTGTGTATGTGGAAGGTGGAAGAAAGAGATACTAAGAATGACATCAAAAATTTTGGTGCAAGTAGTTGGAAAGATGGAGTTGCTGCTCACTGAGTTGAGGAAGACTGTGGAAGGAACAGAGTTCTTGCGGAGGGAGAGAATCAGAGGCTCAGCTTGCTCATATTACATCTGAGATGCCTAACAGACACCCAAGCGGAGAGGTCAGGAAGGCAGCAGAAGTGCAGGGAGAACGTCTGAGGACAATTTAGGGATATACTTTTGGAAGTAATCAGCATATATGAGGCTAGATAAGATCACCTATGGAGAGAGTGCAGATAGAAGAGGTAAAAGGAGCATCTCTGGAACCCACTAACAGAGTCCAGAGATGAGGAAAAGCAAGCAAGGGAGAAGCAAAACAAGTGAGGGGAACCAGTGAGGTAGCAAGAAACCCAGGAGAGCATGGTGGCCTGGAGGCCACAGGAAGAAAGTGTGGAATGATTACATCAAGCTAATTACCATATGCCTTATCTCACACATTTATCACCTTTTTTGTTGTTGTTGTTTGTTTGAGATGGAGTTTCACTCTTGTTGCCCAGGCTGGAGTGCAATGGCACAATCTCGGCTCACTGCAACCTTTGCCTCCCTGGTTCAAGCGATTCTCCTGCCTCAGCCTGCCAAGTAGCTGGGATTACAGGTGTGCGCCACCACACCCGGCTAATTTTTGTATTATTAGTAGAGACAGAGTTTCACCCTGTTGGCCATGCTGGTCTGGAACTCCTGACTTAAGTCATCCACTTGCTTCAGCCTCCCAAAGTGCTGGGATTACAGGTGTGAGCCACCATGCCCAGCCATATTTAACACTTTTTGTGGTCAGATTTACGATCATTTTACATTGGACTATTTTAAGGAGAGAGTGAGCAACTGTGTCAAGTGTGCCATCTGCAGAGCAAGTAAGATGAAAACTGAGAATATATCATTAGATTTAGCGCCATGTGGCGGTCATCAGAGATTTTGATGTGAGCAATTTCAGTAGAGTCGTGTTGGTGAAAACATGACTTGTGAGGGCTCAGGAGAGACTAGGAGGTGAGAATTTCCTCAAAATGTTGAAGCTCAAACTGGTGTATCTTCTATCCCCCCCAAAACCATATTCATAAGTTTATGCTTATCCCTGCTCCACAATTTCAACAACTCTTAATAGATGGGAGCAATGTGAAGGGAAAGCCTGACACAAAAAGAAATAGGATTCACGCCTGGGTCAGGGAAGAGACTGGCCTGCCTGGATTTGAGCATGTTTCTACCACAGGTCACGAATCCATTTAACTGCAGTGAGAGCAAGCATCCAAGCAAGGGCCAGATCTGGAACTGGGCCCACTCAGTAAATTGGTTCAAGGACCAAAGGAGACAGTCCAACAGCAGATCCTGGATGGAAGCCAGCTGGCAGCAATAACCCAGTAATCTGCAGCCCATGATTACCGACAACAGGCCAATAGACTAGTAAAACAGCTGCACTGCAGGCCAGGTGTGGTGGCTCATGCCTATAATCCCAGCACTTTGGGAGGCAAAGGCGGGCAGATCACGAGGTCAGAAGTTCGAGACCATCCTGGTCAACATGGTGAAACGCCGTCTCTACTAAAAATATGAAAATTAGCCAGGTGTGGTGTCACATGCCTGTAGTCCCAGCTACTTGGGAGGCTGAGGCAGGAGAATCACTTGAACACGGGAGAGGGAGGTTGCAATGAGCCAAGACCATGCCATTACACTCCAGCCTGGACTTACTTAGGTCAGGTCTCCAACCTCAAGGCTGAAGTATAAGAGAAAGCATGGGTGAGATAAGGCCTCAGTCCTACAAAAACTGAGCTACTAAGTAAGTTAGCAAAATAGAAACTAAGACAGGGATCTGTTTACAAAACAGGGTTGTTAGGTAGCAGTGAATTATACAACTGAACTAACATTAAGTTTGATATTGCCTGTTTGGGAAAGAGAAAGTATGGGAGAAGGTTTCTTGAGACCAGACCTCAGAGGGTTCTAAAATCCAGGCAGTTAGTATTGTGCTCTCTAGACTGGACTTCTTGCACAGACTTTCTCTGTGTCCGTGGGCAGTATGCCATGAATTGGTAGCTTCATGCATGCCAGCTGTCTAAAAGAGAGTATCTCAAAGCTATTGAACTACAAAAAACCTAGAGCTTTACAGTTAGAAGGATTCCTGGTGATCACTTCATCTAACTCCTTGATTTTACAGATAACAAAGAACCTCATTTTTAAAAAAGATCTAGTATGATTTCTTTCAAGATAGATTATTGGTAGAAATTTAAAGCACTTTACTTGCTTGGTGCAAAGTGAGTATAAAAAATTGTTTCTGGCCAGGTGCAGTGGCTCACGCCTGTAATCCCAGCACTTTGGGAGGCCGAGGCAGGCAGATCACAAGGTCAGGAGATCGAGACCAGCCTGGCCAACATGGTGAAACCCCATTTCTACTAAAAATACAAAAATTAGCTGGGTGTGGTGGCATGCGCCTGTAATCCCAGCTACTTGGGAGGCTGAGGCAGGAGAATTGCTTGAACCTGGGAGGTAGAGGTTGTAGTGAGCCAAGATCACACCACTGCACTTTAGCCTGGATGACAGAGCGAGACTCTGTCTCAAAAAAAAGGATAGATTATAAATCTTCTGACCACAAAAAGTGATAAATATGTGAGGTGAGGCATATGTTAATTAGCTTGATTTAAGCATTCCACAATGTATATACATATATCAAAACATCAAGTGGTACCCAAAAAATACGTATACTTTTAAAAGACCAAAAAAGGCACAGATCACGAGATTCACAAATCACTTCATCTTTTTCCTATTAAAGTATGGCAGGAAAATGCCACCAGTCATGAGACCAACAATTAAAGAACAAAAAATTATCTGGTATTTGTCATGCTGTCACCAACGTGACTCTAAGATACCGAACTGCAATGATCTGATACCATTTCCAAAATTGTGCGCAATTGCTGGTTTGTTTTTTTTTTTTCAGATACTGTTTTACATTGTTATAGTTTATTTTATTATTTTCAAATGCATGTTTTTAATTTATTTGTGGGGTGGGATGGTGGTTTTCTTTTTTAAGGTTGGGGCATTTTACCACCTGAATCCATAAAGGCAGTGGCCAGAAGGAATGAAATGATTCAACGGCATCATACTGCCAGGTAATTTGGCAATGTTGTTTTATTTATTCTCTATTCATTCACTTGCTCATTTATTCACTTGTTATCTTCATATAACAAATGAATAGATGAATATATATAACAAATAAATACACACACACAAATTACTTACATAAAGTATTTCAGGCAGATTACAAAAAGAAACATAGTCTGCTCTGCCTATGGGGTAGCCATTCTCTATTCCTTTACTTTCTTAATAAACTTGCTTTCACTTAAAAAAAAAAAGAAAAAGAAATGAATACAAACATGTATGCAGGTTGGTTAAGGATAAAAGCAAGATTAGAAATCACGGCCGGGCACAGTGGCTCAGGCCTGTAATCCCAGCACTTTGGGAGGCCGAGGTGAGTGGATCATGAGGTCAGGAGTTCAAGACCAGCCTGGCCAAGATGGTGAAACTCCGTCTCTACTAAAAATACAAAAAAACCAGCCAGGGGTGGTGGCAGGCACCTGTAATCCCAGCTACTCAGGAGGCTGAGGCAGAGAATTGCTTGAACCTGGGAGGAGGAGGTAGCAGTGAGCCGAGATTGCACCACTGTGCTCCAGCCTGGGCAACAGAGTGAGACTCTGTCTTGAACAAATAAAAAGAAATCACACAGTGAAGCTAACAGTAGTATTAGTACACAGATTGCAAAAGACCATCAGTGTCCCATAATTAAAATGCCTACGACTCCTCTGAAATTCATATTGGCATTACTGTCTTAAATGACTTCAATTTTGCGCAAAGATAGGAGCCAAGTTTGCCTACCTGACTTCAGATTATGCCATCAGAACTCAGACAACACCCATGTCAGCCCAACAGTGGCCTTCAGCTATAGTACCCAGGAGAAAGAAAAGTATAACAATGAATAGGGTATGGCCCCAGGGTAAGAGAAGGCAGAGTCAACTTTCTCATCGCTGAACCCAAAGGGGTCCAATTGAGGACCAAAAAGCAAAGTGAAGTAAGCAAAACTACCGAGTCTTTTCCTCTGCTCTTCCCCAGCCACTTGCATTTATTTATAAATATTGAGACTTGCAATGTCTAATTGTCTTTCTTGAATCTCACTAAGATTATTTTGCAGGGTTTGAAAACCTCTTCCCAGTACTTTAGGTTTTTTGAGGATTAATCTCTGGCAAGGAACTAGCTGTGCTGCGTAAGCCCCATCCCTGCTAAATTTGCCTCGTCTGTTTAAAGGTAACACTCTAAAGACTGGCCTTTGGACTTCCATTGTGAGACTCAGACAAAGCTTCAGATCTTACTCAAAACTCTCCTTCCCAGTGGCTTTGTGGGGGATTCATGTTTCCACCAAACAAACTTCAGATAAACAGTGTGAGGACTATTTTAGGGAAGACAAGGGGTCATTAAAATTACATTTATAGTGGTTTTCTTGGGCTGTATAAAATATATTGTTTTGTTTTTAGGACAGAAATGGAAATGTATGCTATTTACCAGCAAAGGAGAATGGAAAAAATTAATCCCAAGGGACTAGCAGGCCTAGGGATACCCTTCCTCTATGGCTCCAGTGTCCCAGCTGCCCCCGCTGCCTACCATGGCAGGAGCATGCTCCCTGCCGGTGACCTGCATTTTCACAGAAGCACCCTCAGAAACCTTCAGGGAAACCCCATGCTAGCGGCAACTGCACCACACTTTGAGGAGAGCTGGGGGCAGAGATGTCGTCGACTCAGGAAAAATACAGGGAATCAAAAAGCTCTAGACAGTGATGCTGAGAGTTCCAAAAGTCAAGCAGAAGAAAAAATCCTAGGTCAGACTCATGCAGTTCCCTATGAAGAGGATCATTATGCAAAAGACCCAGACATTGAAGCACCCAGCAACCAGAAGTCAAGTGAAACGAATGAAAAGCCAACGACAGCTCTTGCCAACACCTGTGGAGAGCTCGAGCCCACCCATAGGAAACCCTGGGGGTCTCACACCACTACCCTGAAAGCAAAGGCCTGGGACGATGGGAAAGAGGAGGCTTCGGAGCAGATTTTTGCAACCTGTGATGAAAAGAATGGGGTTTGCCCTCCAGTTCCTCGACCATCTCTGCCAGGTGGGTGTCCAGGGGCCAATGGCAGATCCTCATTAACTACAGGTTGCCAAGTCCGTAGGTTACTACATAATAAACTGTAACCATCCTGCCTCTTTTTATCTTTCTTTTTTTTTTTTTTTTTTTTTTTTTTTGAGACGGAGTCCCGCTCAGTCGCCCAGGCTGGAGTGCAGTGGCGCGATCTCGGCTCACTGCAACCTCCGCCTGCCGGGTTCACGCCATTCTCCTGCCTCAGCCTCCCGAGTAGCTGGGACTACAGGAGCATGCTGCCACGCCCGGCTAATTTTTTTGTATTTTTATTAGAGCCGGGGTTTCACCATGTTGGCCAGGATGGTCTCAATCTCCTGACCTCGTGATCCGCCCGCCTCGGCCTCCCAAAGTGCTGGGATTACAGGCGTGAGCCACCGCGCCCGGCTTTATCTTTCTTTTTCTTAATCCTGCTTGGAATTACCTTCTCTTAGCATCATTTTATTCTATCAGTGCTAATAAGCCATATCAGTGAAACTAGCCTCTGTTTATATTTTGCTATATAGAGAATTTTCAACAAAGGCTGGGAAGGTAAATATCTTGGGAAACATAATAGAATTTTAATTTAAGATTTTAATGTAATTTAGTGTTCATTTCTTCAACAAAGCAGAGAGGCGTCTTGCTTCAAAGTGTGAATTCTATCTCCCTGATATTTAAGTATATGAAAAAACAGGCAATTAAGCAGAAGTATTACCTTTCAGTGTCCAATACTGTTGATACTTTCAAATTTAAAAATACTAATGCACTTCATGACAGAAACGCACACTGAATAGTTTTCTAGCACTCCTTTAGATAAAAAAAAATATATTTTAAGACACAGGGATTGTGAAGGGCATGTAATACAGCCACCATACCAACTGTTTCCCTACAAAGTGTTAATTTGCCATTCTGATGAAAATGTAGCTAAATTATTGTCTCATCTCGAAAGCAGGATAATCACCTATCACGAAAACATAGTAACATTAATCTGGAGAATAGAATCCATGGGGCATTTCTGTTGTAATCTGAGAGAAGCTGGTGCAAACCTGGAACTTGTTTACTTACAATAAATGCTATCAGTAAAGATCTTTTCAGAGAAAGAAAAGAAAGGAGGCAGCTGAAGCTTTTAGAAAACATCTCCTAGTAATTCCTAATATCTTGTAAGGCGTTTGCAAATCAAGACCACTCTGGGGTGATAGAATATAAGGAAATTAATGTAACTATACATAAACCTGTATGTATTTTATGCCACAATTTCTTTCCATTTTAAAGGAACACATGCACTGGTTACAATTGGGGGGAATCTTTCTTTGGATGAAGATATTCAGAAGTGGACCGTGGATGATGTGCACAGCTTCATTCGCAGCCTTCCAGGTTGTTCAGACTATGCTCAGGTGACTTAATGTTTAAGTATTTCCATACAAGAAAAACAGTTTGAAATATCTTTCCTGCATAATGAATTAGGTCAAACTTGCATTGTGCCTCCAGAAAGGATTCCTACTAATCTCTCTTTTTTATGCCAGTGTCTACCCTGGGACAGGTCTCTGATTGGTGGAACTTGGGTCATACACCCACACCCCAGCATCAGGGGAGGCTGGGAAAGCCATTGTCTGTCTTTAGCTTCTTTCCTATCAAGACTCCTAAGAAGTAGGAATTCTCCCAAAATTAGAAGAAGGTTCAGAAGCTGAACATCCAAAAAGAATGGGAAATAACGACTACATTCCCTACTTATCCACATAGCAAACATTTTTGGAGCACAGACTTCTGGGTGAGAAGTTTTAGGTTACTCACTGTAAGTAACAGGAATATATACTTCATTCTAAAAGGAACAAGAAGGCAATATCTGAAAAGTTAGAAATTCATTATTTTAAATTCTGTATTTATGCTGGGACAATATATAAAAATGCATACAACATATTCAATCTGGCATAAAATACCATTTTAAAAAACTATAATGAACTATCAGGGCAGTTAGAAACAAAACTAGCCTCACTAGTATTGAAAAATTTGTGACAAAAGTCATAGGTTGGTAAAATTTTGAAGTTTATGTCAATGCTACATTTTCATGCATTTAGTTTACTTTTTTGAGTTATTTAATAATACAATTCTAAGCAATAAAGTGCCTACTAAATCTAGTATCATTTTTGGTTTGCATGTTAAAGGAAAAGAAAGCAAGAAAAGGATATTAAGGTTTAACTACATCATAATTAACTGATACTAGAGCTGATTATTTTCCAGATCTGTTTTGTGAAATGTTTGTCTACAGTGAGATACTGTTAACTCTTTTTCTTTTTATTATTATTATTTTTTAGTTCAGTTTACGGGACTTACGGAAAAACTATATAGAGTAGTTACTAAGAATATAGCTTCTGAAGCCAGAAAGTACAAATTCAAATCCTGGCTTTTCTATTTTCTGGTTGTGTGACCTAGGACAAGTTGCCTCCCTTCTCTGTGCCTCAGTTGTTTTATCTGTAAAATGAAGATAATCATAATAATACATTTTCAGAGGATTTTTGTGAGCATTAGAGTGCATGGCACCTTGTAAATACTCAATAAACATGAATTTCATCATTATACCCAAGAGACGGCCAAGCCTCAAGTTACTTATGAAGCAAGTTGTGTTCCTCAAGTCACCCATTTTTGTCTTTTGCATAACCTGATAAAAAGTTTTTGGCCTACTCTTCCCTGTTCAATGGTTATAACCTTATTTTTAAAAATTAGTCATTAGTCATGGGTAAGCCACTTTTTAAATGTATCTATACCACTTCAAGTGCCATGTCAACCATGGGTTCAATTAAGTTGCTAACTTCTGATAACAACCGGAAGAGCAACCCTTATTTAATAAGCATGTGATTGCTAAGATCTGGCACATTGAATTTGAACTCTGATTATTCTTAGTGATCCATAGTCAGAAAAGTGCAATTTATAATAATAGCTCTTGTAATAAATAATATTACATGCTTTTCATAGTTTAAAATCCCAAATGTCCCCTTGTGGGTACACAGAAGTCACATAAACATGAGTACTCCAAACTCTGCTGACTCATTATCTCTCACTGACAGGATGTCAGCGCCCTCTTCCCTACCCCAAGAAGTGGTAGCAATTATTTCTAGATACGTCTCAAATTTGTTTAGGATCAAGTCCTGCTTTAGTTTCCCCATTAAAGTATACTCCCTCCAAGTGACAGCAGGTGGCATCAACTGAAAGATGTCACTGCTGTGCTGTGCCTGCCCCCAGCTATGCTCTGTGATGTTATTTTATACAGAAATGGGGAGATGCCCTCTGGATGCAACAGCCCTGAAGCAGCACTGCTTGTACCCCACTCTCACAAGGACGCTTGTCTAAAATGTCCCATCAGGTGTTACTCATTGTTACTCATAGCCCCTTTCTTTTCTTTTTTTTTTTTTTTTTTTTTGAGACAGAGTCTTGCTCTGTCGCCCAGGCTGGAGCGCAGTGGCATCATCTCTGCTCACCACAACCTCCGCCTCCTGGGTTCAAGCGATTCTCCTGCCTCAGCCTCCCGAGTAGCTGGGACTATAGGTGCACACCACCACGCCTGGCTAATTTTTTGTATTTTTAGTAAAGACAGGGTTTCATCGTGTTGGCCAGGCTGGTCTCAACCTCCTGACCTCATGTTCCGCCCACCTCGGCCTCCCAAAGTGCTGGGATTACAGGCATGAGCCACCGCGCCCAGCCCCATAGCCCCTTTCTTTAAATGAGTTGGACCAAGGTGCTGAGATTAGCTGGCGTTAAACCTACTGTCCCCCAACTATCCTCTTACTCCCCATCTCTGCCTTAGGTGCCTACTCAGCAACTTCTCACCACTCACCTCCTGTAGGTAGAAAAAGAAATTCAGCAGAAAAAAAATAACAACTAAAACCCAAAGCCCCAAGTGCAAATGAACTCTTTTAAATAGGTGTAGAGAAAGGATTGGTGGCTCAGCTGTTAAGGAACATTCAGGAGAGCCTGCAACATATTTTGTTCCAAGTAAATGTCTAGTTCAGAGGACTCAGCAGATAAAATATCCTCTCTCTAAAAAGAACTGAAATTACTGAAAATATGTGCACATTTATATCATTACACATGGCCCAAACTGCTCTGGTGAGAAAGAAGGGGGTACATCTGAGCGACAGGGACATGTATGTGTCCTCGCCCCAGGCCCTGAGTACATCCACCATGGCTGAGGGTTAGATCCTCACACATTTCAGTCCCCTGGCTGCCAGCCTACCTCTGCTTGAAAATTTATCCACGTGGTTCCTCCTTTGGATGCTCACAAATTGTCAGGTGCACACTACCACACCCAGCTAATTTTTTTTAAAGAGATGGGGGTCTACTATGTTGCCCAGACTTGTCTCAAACTCCTGGGCTCAAGTGATCCTCCAGCCTTAGCCTCCCAAGTAACTGAGATTACAGATGTGAGCCACCGCACCTGGCTCTTTAATTTATATTAGCCATTTTCTATAATTTGCTTAATTAAAATAGGAAAAGAAATAATTACTTAATGCAGTTTGTTGGGGGACGGCTGGCTCAGCGCTGAGAGAGGTGGCCAGGGAATGGTGGGAGCTGCAGTGGTGGTGGCAGTGGCTGGGGTGATAAGCACAGCCTGGGGCTGCCCCTCCTCGGGGGCCATGCTGCATTGCACTGCATGGGTAGCCACGAGCGAGTCTAGGACGCAACGGGAACTGTGGAAGGTGCATCCACAAATGGACCAATGTGTGTAATGATGGAATCTCCTTACTAACCATTACCACTGCCTCTCCTTGATAAGTGAGCCAGAGAGTGAGTGGGTCAGGGGAGAAGAAAAGAGGTCAACATGAAGCTAAAGCAGCGAGTCATGCTGTTAGCAATTCCTGTCATCTTTATCTTCACCAAAGTTTTCCTGATTGACAACTTAGATACATCAACTGCCAAGCAGCGTTTCACTACTTGATCCCCTGAGGGCTTTTCACCGAATGATGACTGGCTTGTGGATGGAGCTGTCACCCAAGTTGGACCACACGTTGCAGTCTTCCTAGGAGACTGCAGCCCAGTGGGTGGTTCCCCAGGAAGTGTACTGTGAAGAGACACCAGAGCTGGGGGCAATCATGCATGCCATGGCCACCAAGCAAATTATTAAAGCTGATGTGGGTTATAAAGGGACACAGCTGAAAGCCTTACTGATCCTTGAAAGGGAACAGAAAGTTGTTTTCGAACCTAAGTAGTATAGCCGAGACTATGTAGTGGAAGGGAACCATATGCCGGTTATGATAGACACAATGCGGAGGTAGCAGCCTTTCACTTGGACAGGATTGTGGGTGTCCCAGAGCCCTGCTGATGGTGGGCAGATCCGTTCATCTTCAGACAGAGATCAAGCCTGTTACCATGGAGCAGCTGTTGAGCCCCTTCCTAACTGTAGGACACAATACTTGTTTTTATGGGAAGTGTTATTACTACCGAGAAACAGAATCAGCTTGTGCCGATGGAGACACAATGGAAAAATCTGTCACACTTTGGCTTCCAGATGTGTGGCCTCTCCAGAAACACTGACACCCGTGGGCCAGGACTTACTGAAAAGGCAAATTGGCCAGGTGGGAGTATGATGAGCGCTACTGTGAGGCTGTGAAGAAAACGTCCCTTTATGACTCTGGCCTGTGCCGCCTGGACACCATTAACACAGCTGTCTTTGATTACCTGATTGACAATGCTGACTGCCATTACTATAAGAACTTTCAAGATAATGAGGGCGCCAGTATGCTCATCCTTCTTGATAACAACAAAAGCTTTGGGAACCCCTTGCTGGATGAAAGAAGCATTCTTTCCCCCCCTCTATCAGTGTGGCATCACTCAGGTGTCTACCTGGAACAGACGGAACTACCTAAAGAATGGTGTGCTGAAGTCTACCTTAAAATCTGCCATGGCCCATGACCCCCTCTCCCCAGTGCTCTCTGATCCTCGTCTGGACGCCATGGACCAGTGGCTCCTGAGTGTCCTGGCCACCGTGGAGCAGTGCACTGACCAGTTTGGGATGGACACTGTATGGTAGAAGACACAATGCCTTTCTCCCACTTGTAACTCTCAATAAAAAATAAGTGAAACTTCTTTTTACAAAGATAGAGAAGCAGCACAATCAATTCCAAATGGTATGAAATGGATTGGAAATGGCCAGCAGCAAGTTCTGGTGACAGGGGACAGGGTGGCCTTGGATGTCTTTGGTGTTTTCTGTAGTAGAAACTAAAGCAAAGACCACAAGTTTCTGAGCATGGAGATGTTCCTGCTGAATCACCTTCTGAATTCCTCAGCAATTGCCCATTCTAGCAATAGGCATCATAGTTGGTCAGTCTTAATTCCCAGGCCAAAGGACAATCAGACATTTTCATAGATGAATACTGGGATTGGCTCTGGAGTGTGTGTTTTGAGTGGAACATTTCAGTCCTTTCTCCACACCGGTGCATATTGTGGAAAAATATATGTATACATTCATGACTAAAATCTATTAGAACACAAGGTTCCCAGTACAGGAGCTTTCCAAGAAGATTCTACTTTTTAGCTGGTCCTGAGTCATGCCCTGTGAGGCATGGAGCACAGAGTGGAAACAAGACCAATGTGGTTCCTCTTCTCATGGCACTCATAGTCCAGAAGAGGGGCACCAGTGAGTGATCCCACATCCATACGAGCACGTTGTGAAAGGCGGGTACAGAGCATGGTGGGAACACATATGAGGGACTCTTGGCCTCCTAAAGGAAGAGGCCTCTAAAGTGAGACCTGAAAGTCAAGAGGAGAGGTGAGGCAGGAGGGAGATAAAGGAGGAATTTCCAGGTGAGGGCCAGAGCCAGAGAAAACTTTAATATGGTTGGGACTTTGAGAGTAGTTCCCAGTGCTACAGAGGGCCAGGGCCAAGGTGGGAGAGGTGGGGAGAGCAAGATGAGACTGGAGAGGTGGACAGGGCCAGGTCACAGAGCCCAGAAGACCCAGTGAAGGATTGTGGCTTTATCCTGGAGGCAGTCAGGTTTTAAGTAGGGAGCGGCATGGTTAGCTTTATATTGCAGAAAGATCACTCAGGTTGCTTTTATGAAAATAAGTTGAAGAGGACAAGACAGAGGGGAAGCCTATTCAGATAAGCAATGATGGAGTTCTATCCAGGGTGGGAGCAGTGGGGGCAGGAGGATAAGAACACAACCTAGAGGAGGCAGGGCAAGATGGCCAAAAAGAAGCCTCCACCGATGGTCCTCCCTTCCGGAACACCACATGGAGCAACAATCCTCACAAAAAAAAACCACCTTCATAAGAACAAAAAATCAGATGATCAATCACAGTACCTGGTTTTAACTTCATGTCACTGAAAGAGGCACTGAAGGGGGTAGGAAAGATAGTCTGGAATTGCCCACACCATCCCTCTGCCGTCCCCCAGAAGTGACCACATGGTATGGGGACAGAATCTGTGCTTTTGTGGGTGGGGGACACGGTAATTGTGGGACTCTGCATTGGAACTCAGTGCTGCCCAGTCACAGCACAATGAAAACTATGTAAGAGGCCAAACTGGCACGATTTAGCTTCTGAGTTAAAGATACATGTTAGGGAGCCTTCAGCATATACAGCCCATCATTGAAGCTGAGCAAAGCTGAAATGAATCAGGAAGACCAAAGGGACCTGAGTCAGAAGCCTAAGAAACCCTAACCTATAAAAATGGACAAAGAAACAGGAGCTGGCAAAGGTGACCTTGAAGGAGAGAACAGGGGTACCCAGGAGGGAGCAGCCTCATGACAGAAAGGAAGAGCAAGCACTGTTCATGAAGGCACAGTCAACAATGTCAGATGCAGCCAGCAACTTCAGAAATAGAACAACTGCAAAATGTCTGCATGTTTGGTGGGACAGAGGCACCCGGAAGCCTGAGGAAAGCCGGCTTAATGGAATGGTCGGGGCAGAGCTCAGATTCCCTGAGACTGCAGAATGACTGGGAAATTAGAACGTGAAAGCAGGGAGCATCGAAACCCTTTGGAGAAATCTAGCTGTGAAGGGAGTGAGAGACATGAGGCAGCATTTGGAAATGGAGTTTGAGTATTTTCATTATTTTTGTTTGTTTAATGATGGTGGAGACTTATTTAAATCCCAATGGGAAAGAGCCAGCAGAAGAGGAGAGACTGAAGAGAAAAGAGGGAATTATCTATCCTCTCTGGAAGTGGGAGGCATGAGGACCCACAGTATATGTGGAGAGATCGTCTTTAAATGGTGGAGAGACCTCTCTTCCATTGTATCGTGACAGTGGGAGAAAATAAAGGTTTTTGGTTCATTGGTCAGAATTAGAGGGAGTTCTTATCTACTGGTTTTTGTTTTCTGTTTTTTGTTTTGTTTTGTTTTGTTTTGTTTTTTTAGTTAGGAAGCGCTATGATCTACTGAAAATGAGGGAAGGCTCTGCCTACAAAGTCTAAAGTTTGAGGAGGGTGGAGATAGCTTGAAATAGAAGGGAGAGAAAGCTCAACTGTGAATATAGAAGGATTTCCAGGCAAGTTGAAGTTGAAGATCATGAAATTACGGTCCTATCAATCTGCCTAGATTTTGTATCCCTCTATCTGCCTGGAATCTTTGTCCACCAGCAGCCTTCCTGGCTTTCAGAGAAAGGAAGGCACGCCACGTCCACTACAGTTTCAGGACTAACAGACCTGCTGGAAAGGTCCGGTAGGGAAAGTTCTCAGCAGCATTTCCCTCCCCTCCCTTTACCAAGCATCTAAGGCATGGCCAGCAGATACCACATCTGTAAATGTGAGACATGAAATTTATCCATAACAGGTTTTACCCACATCCCTTTACTTACAGCATTTACTCATTCATTCATTTATCCAGCAATATTTATTGTACATCTTCTTACCATATGCCAGCCTCTGTATTAGGGGTACATTGGTCAAAAAAACACTGACCTGGCCCTCAAATAATCACTATTCCTGGTTGGAATTGAGTTCTATAAACAGAGAATTACAGTCGATTACAAAGGTTATTAAAGAGCACAAGCAATATGCTACTGAGCACAGAAAAGAGAGCAACTAAAAAAAGGTTTTACAAATTTTTTTGTCATCCTCAAGCAGTCTTAATGTTTTCTCCAAAACTAAAATATCTAGGTGGTAAAAGAACTTTTTCAAAAAAAGACATTCAGACAGAGTTAACACCTTTTGTATTTATGAAGGTATTTAAAGATCATGCAATTGATGGAGAAACTTTGCCATTACTCACAGAAGAGCATCTTCGAGGCACTATGGGATTAAAGCTAGGGCCGGCACTAAAAATTCAGTCACAGGTATGGTGATTTTATATAACTAATTATGTATTAATGGCACAAAGCTTAATACAAATATGTTACTTTTATCTTGTTGTAATATAAATAATACTTATTTAACTTCTTTATTGCTTTCCCTCTGTGGTTGAGGACATAATAGAAGTGAGGGACCCTGAAAACATTGGATGGGATGGTGGTACACATTCCTAGATATAACTGGGAAGATGATAAGCAAGGATGCACTGGTAAATGTTTAACAAGTAGTTCTCTTTGAAAAAAAATGAGCCCCAATTTGTAATATCTCCAATTTCTGTGGTGTAAATTACTCCCACCGTGGCTGAGAAACTCCTAATGTCACTGAATACTGTCATCCTCCGAGAAATCATCATCCCACTCGGGAGTGCTGCCCTCCTCGCTCCGGGCCCATGACACTTGGGGGTGACTATCCTGAAATGGGAAAAGATGCATAGCAGCACCCCACTTTAGAGTATTTCTACCAGATACAATCTCAAATATAATAGGTGTGAATAACGTCAAGAGCAGAAGTAATAATAATAGTAAAATAATTAGGTAAAAACAATTAAAAAGTGATGAGCCTTAAGCATATATTACTTTTGTTGTACATAATTTATTTAATATGATGCTTTGACTTAATTTTTAATAATGATGTATTTAACAACTGGCTTGCAAACTTCCTAAACATTGAATAATTGGCTCTTGTGAGTTAGCCAACCCCAGCACGCCACTTCTCACTACCTCCACCACTCCATCCTGGTCTCAGGCACCATCATCTCTCATTGGATGACTGTATTGGCCTTCTTTTTTTTTAATTTTAATTTTTATTTTAAGTTATGGGGTACATGTGCAGGTTTGTTGCACAGGTAAACATGTGCCATGGTGGTTTGCTGCACCTATCAACCCATCACCTAGGTATTAAGCCCAGCATGCATTAGCTATTTATCCTGATGCTCTCCCTCCCCCCATCCCAACCCCTGACAGGCCTCAGTGTGTGTTGTTCCCCTCCCTATGTCCATGTGTTCTCATTATTCAGCTCCCACTTATAAGTGAGAACATGCGGTGTTTGGTTTTCTGTTCCTGCATTAGTTTGCTGAGGATAATGGCTTCCAGCTCCATCCATGTCCCTGCAAAGGACATGATCTCGTTCCTTTTTATGGCTGCATAGTATTCCATGGTGTATATGTACCACATTTTCTTTATCCAGTCTATCACTGATGGGCATTTGGGTTGATTCCATGTCTTTGCTATTGTGAATAGTGCTGCAATGAACATATGTGTGCATTTATCTTTGTAATAGAATGATTTATATTCCTTTGGGTAAATAGCCAGTAATGGGATTGCTGGGTCAAATGGTATTTCTGGTTCTAAATCTTTCAGAAATCATGCATTGGCCTTCTAACTGCTCTCCCTGCTTCTGCCCTTGCCCACCCAGAGTTGATTCACAAAACAGTAAAAGTGGTCCTTTTAATATGTAAGATGGATTGTGTCAGTCTTCTGCTCAAGATTCTACAATAGCTCCCCATTGCCTTCAGAGCCAAAGCCAAAGACCTATGTCATTTGTGCTCCTCCTAACATGCCACCACCATTACCGTCCTGACCTCACCATCTACTTTTCTCCCCCTCAGTAATTCCACTATTGCTCAGCTGCCCCTGGTTAGAGCCACCTTGATACCCTGTTTTACATCTGTAAACACTATAATTCTGAGAGAAAGAAAAAGCCCACCACATCCTACAATTGTGACCCCCACAACTATATGTTAATAGATGCTCCATGCCTGAAATTACCTCAGCCTCTCTGTGATGTGTGTTTAATGCTGAGTTAATGAAAAAAATTCATAGAATTGATTACTATAATTATTTTGTCTTAAAAGGTATCTCAGCATGTGGGAAGTATGTTCTACAAGAAAACTCTTTCATTTCCTATAAGACAAGCATTTGATCAACCAGCAGATACATCCCCTCTTCTGGATCCTAATTCCTGGAGTGATACAATGAACATTTTTTGTCCCCAGGATACAATAATTCCTAAAGGAATTGAGCGAGGTAGTATGAGAAACTAAAAGCCCTCAAGGAGGAAGAATAGTCTTAGCCAGTTTTCCAAAGAGCCTAGGATATTACAAAGGATGTGTGAGGATTTCCCAGTACTGGATGGAGAATGAGAAGAGAAAGTCAGCCTTTCTGGGGCTTTCATGGAGGAGACTTGCCCAAGGGGCTTCCCTGCCAGGGCTGAATGACCCCAGCACCAAATGACTGGAGACGCATCCTTAGGAGCAAATGCTAATGAAGGGGAGATTTACAAACATCAAGAAAGCTGCAGATGGATGTTTCCATGAAGAAATCTCTGAAGAAACCAAAAGAGCTGAAACTGAAAAAAGAGCTCCCTCCCTTTTTTCACTCATTTTCCATTCCCAAACCCTGAAAGAGATAAAGGCAACCCAATGAAACCACAGAGAGGCAGAAGAGAACGGGCAGAAGTACAGAACAGAAATGGAGAAGCTGACCACGACTCCATCTCTTCTCATTCCAGATTTCCAGCGTGAAGCAGGCCCAAGCTAGGGAAGGTGAGAAGCTTTAACCTTAAATTTTCGAGTTTTGGCCAGGCGCGGTGGCTCACGGCTGTAATCCCAACACTTTGGGAGTCTGAGGCGGGCGGATCATGAGGTCAGGAGATTAAGACCAGCTTGGCCAACATGGTGAAACCCCGTCTCTACTAAAAATACAAAAAAAAATTAGCTAGGCCTGGTGGTGCGCGAATGTAGTCCCAGCTACTCGGGAGGCTGAAGCAGGAGAATTGCTTGAACCTGGGAAGCGGAGGCTACAGTGAGCTGAGATCGTGCCACTGCACTCCAGCCTGGGTGACAGAGCAGGACTCTGTCTCAAAAAAAAAAAAAAAAATCGAGTTTGAATATTATTCATGACTAGGTATTTTATTTCTGAAATACAACTATGTTATGACTGAAAGTGACTGGAGGACTGCTTTTTATCTGAGAGGGAGGTGAAAAGTCATAGTATCCACTTGAGATTTCATCCAAGGGGTGGGGAAGTTATCTCTGCAAAGCAGGTTTGAGCTGGCAAGGTGGAGTGCTCTCTGCTCACACCCTGTGGAATCCCACATTTTCAACTTGATGTTTAACAGAATGTCTCTGAAAGGATAAACAAGAAAATGATGACAGTTTGCTCAAGGAGGGGATTGGCTAACAGGATATGAAGTCTTCTTACCATATACATTCTTGAACATTTTGAATTTTTAACCATGAGAATATATTTTCTATTTAAAAAATTTACATTTAACATGAGCAAACTCTAGAAAGCAGCCTCTGAGATGGCCCACAAGGATCCCTGCATCCTGGTATCCCAAGCCCTTGTGTGATCTACTCCGCTTGAGGGCGGGCTGGGGGTATTGAGGCTTTTCTAATGAACAGAATACAGAAGGCGTGATAGATGGGATGTCACTTTTGTGGCTTCTGTCTTGGGTGCTCGCTCTCTCTCTCTCTCTGGATTTCTCACTCTTGGGGAAGCCAGATTCTTTGTCTCCAGGCAGCCCTGTGGAGAGCCCCACATTAACTTGGAAATGGATCTTCTGACGCTGCCAACAGCCATGTAAGGAAACTTGAAGGTGCCTCAGCTCCAGCCCACAGCTTGATGGCAGCTCATGAGAGACCCTCAGCCAGAGGCCCCCAGCTAAGCCACTCTGGATTTCTGACCCACAGAAACTGTAAGATAATAAATGTGTGTTGTTTTCAGCCACTAAGTTTTGAAGTAATTTATTTCACAATAATGGAGTACTAAAACAAACAAATTAAGTTGCATTTAGTAAACACAAATTGCATGCTACCCACATTCACTTTTTGATTTGGAAGGTGGGCTTTTGAAATCATTTTCCTATAAGCCTAATTTAGTTAAGCTTCCATTTCTTTCATTTTTACTAAGACAACAGGTTTTTCTTCTGACAAAAACTGTATGAAACCATCACATGTATTTGTGAATTGTTACTTTACTCTCTTGGTCCCTTTGCTGAAAGAGAGACAGGGACAGACAGAAAATCCTCCCATATTTCAAAAATATGTCTTTTTTAAGTTATTTAAGATGGCAATAAGCCAATGAATAACGAGTGGCAAGATTTTTACTAAAAATAACTTGAAAAATGCTTCACTTCCTCTTTCCCTCTTTTTATTCATCTGATGCTCAGTGTACCGAAGAACTGTTTGGTCACGTGACATTTCACCTGCTATACTACCCAGCAAACAGAAGTTTCACAAAATGCCAGGTGTGAGTTACAGATGCTGTGGTGAGGGATAAAAAGAAATGCTTAATATTTTTAATGGCAAAGTGATAATGAGGTTCAATCACTATGATGACTTTTGAGTTTCGTATTGCTGCTAAATAAGTCCATTGAGTTGGTAATTGATTGATTTGCACAGATGTATCTCAATGTTGCTCTAAGGAAAATGTTCCGATATGCCATCTTGGCATGTACTATCACCAGAAAAAACCACTGTGCTTAATTTTAGGTCCATGCATTTAAAAAAGAACCAGAAGAACACATGTAAAGGAGGCCCTCCCCAGCTCTCAGTACTCTTCATTGTAAGAGAATAAAACTGAAATTGCTTGTCCCTACCAAGATTACCTTCTACCAAGATTGTCTTCTTCTAAAGACTCCTGGGTACGTTTTAACAAAAGGGACACTTTATGAACAGATTATTTTGGAGGGTGAGGATTTTTATTTACATTATCATCTAGAAATAGTTTTTAACTTTTTCTGAAATGCCACTTGAGGCTTGAAGCATACTCTGTACTCTTTATGAATAAAAAACAAAGCAACAACAATGACAACTTCTCTCTTGTTGGAAAACCATCACAATAAAATTATGTTTGATAAATAGGGAATTATGACTTATGAAATATGTTTAGACTGATTGAGTAAATATCCAGGCAATGGAGTACTATGCAGCTGTTTCCTTTAGGGAAGTATTATAGCTATTAAGGAGAAATAATAGAATTTGAATATCACCATTATGCACCCCTAAAACATAAGCAATCTAGGCAGTAGTCATAAATGGCTGCTAACATCTCGAAAAGAGAAATAACCAGACATCATGTGCCATCTGATGGAAATCCATGAAACCCCATATGAATGAAAGTCTTATTAAAAAAAAAAATTAACCTGAGTCGAAATAAACCTCTAGATCCAAAAACCAATTTACAGGAAATACAGGGAACAAAGGAACATGTTAAACATCACTGCAGTTATAAAAATAGTAAATATCCAAATTATGGGGAACTATAGTAGAAATGACCTGATTTTCTCCAACAAATAAATGCAAGGGAATGGGAAAAGGAAAACCTGTAGATTAAAAGAAAGATACTTAAGATTCAAATAACCCAGATGTAAAAGTTTTGGAAATAGTGGTGATGGTTGCACAAAATTCTGAATATAATTAATACCACCAACTTGTATGTTAAAATTACAAATTTTATATATTTTTTACTAAAATAAAATTTTTTGAATTCAAATCACCCAATATAATCATGAAACTTATTTAAATCCTTTTTCAAATACATTGTAAAAAATGAAACAATTAGGGAAATCTGAACACAATTTGGGATATTCAATGATATTAAAAATTACTGTTATTTGTTAAAAATATAGTATTGTGAGCTTTTTTAAAAGACTTCTTATTTTTTAAAAATATATACTGAAATATGTACAGATAAAATGATATATGGTATCTGGGATTAGATTTGATCCTGCCTCCAACCTAATAAATTATCCTGCTATTATTTTATGGAGACTGGCAGAACACATGAGCCTCTTGGGTCAGAGACAAAGAACTTTATTACTCATGACACAGTAGCAGCATGAACATCAGCATATGTGTATTGGTTCCTTTTGCCCCTAGGTGCTACAAGAGCAATACAGAGGGGCCCAGAGGCTACCTGCCCATACAGTAGGTTTGCTTCACAGCTGAGGATCACAACTTGGGGAAACGACCAATTTTATAGCAAGCAGTAAGCAAGCCTGCTCTTTGTTCAGGGGTGATGATGGGTGTGGAAGGAAGGATTACCCATTTTTTAAGGTTACCAGCTACATAATCAACCTTGAGAAATGGTTCTGGTAAAAGAATAGTTAGAGCCTTGCAGTCTCTTGGTCCACCCAGCAAGATGTATAGAAACAAGAGTCCCAAAAAAGAGTATTTCTCCCAGTAATATCATGACAAGGATTTGCTTCCAAAAATCTGTTGAGTGGGTAGGGTGTAGGTAGATCACTGGGACTATGGGTGAAATAAGTTCAGTCATGAGTTGATACTTATTGAAGCTGGGTTTTGACTACATGAGGTTCACTATTCTATTCACTCTACTTTTGTATATATTTGAGGTTTTCCATAATAAAAGTTTTAAAAAATCTGTTTACTAAACAGCCAACATATAGCTATAAGAGTTATAGAATAAGTGTGGATACCAATGTTTAAAAAAGAGTATAGGGCTGGGCGTGGTGGCTTACGCCTGTAATCCCAGCTACTCAGGAGGCTGAGGCAGGAGAATCACTTGAACCTGGGAGGTGGAGGTTGCAGTGAGCCAAGATTGTGCCACTGCACTCCAGCCTGGGCAACAGAGCAAGACTCTGTCTCAAAAAAAAAAAAAAACACTATATTTTTAAATACATGAAATTTTTTAAATTCCATTAAATTGTTTCCATTAGTTATTTAAAATATATGGAATATTTTACTCTGCCCACTAACACTAAAAATGTATTATACTTCAAGCAAATGCAGTTTCTCATTATGGTAAATATGTACACTGTTATTTTATTACAGATATATGAAAGATCTGTTTTATAGAGCGTTGCAGTCAATTTGCTGTACTTATCCAGCATATCCTCTGGAAAGGGAATCCTCTACATAAATCAACACAAGGTCCAAGGTCTCCGATATGTCTGATAATAGCCACAGGATGTCATTGTGCAGGTGTGAGAAACTCATCTCCTGAGTAAAGGAAATAGTTTACTTGAACATCATTGAATGCCATTTTGAAAAAATATGGATGCTTTTAGATTTTTTAACTACATATACTTTTTTTTTTGAGACAGAGTCTCGCTCTGTCACTACATATACATTTTAAACTACGTTTCTAAAATAGTTTACCTTCCTCTTTGGCTCATTTCCTAAGAGGTGACTTTATTTTGCTAGCTGGGATTACAAAAAGTTTATTAAACTGATTGTTGAATTAAATAGCTATTTGTTTCATAGTGCTAGAAGTTATTCTCATCAAACAAAACAAAAGCATAAAACACTTGGTTACTGTAAAAAAAAAAATCTTACCACTTTTTAATATACAGGCATACCTCAGAGATATCTGAGATTCAGTTCCAGACCACTGCAATAAAGGAATTTTCTGGTTTCCCAGTGCATATAACAGTTATGTTTACACTATACCATAGTTTAAGTGTACAATAGTATTATGTCTCTTGAAATGTACTTACCTTAATTTAAAAACATCTTATTGCTTAAGAAAAAGCTAACAAAGTGAGCACATGCTGTTGGGAAAACAACGCCAATAGATTTACTCAACTCAGGGTTCCCACAAACCTTCCATTTGTAAAACATGCCATATCTGCAAAGCACAGTAAAATGAGGTATGTCGATACTTTAGCCCTTAGTCCTTGGTAAGAGAGGAGAGACACACTATAATTTATAATTCTTCTAATTATTTTCAAACTATTTTGGAGAAACATCATGGGGATACTAACTTTTTTACAGTATAAAAGTAAGTTAATCATTCTGTAGTTCCTGGACTAATCCTCCTCTTTTTTTAAATTCATATGCTGCTTTATTTCCATAAGGATACACTGAAACATTAGACGATAACAGCTAATGACAGAATGTAGAAATGAGACATCAGCTTCTCTAACCACTCCTACAAGAATGTTAGTACACATAGTCATTACATGTTTACTTTTGATATTGTCTCATTATATCATAAAATAATGTAGAATACAGTAAGTAGGTGATCCTGTATTTCAGGTAAGTGGTAGGTGGAAATCCGCATTTCCTCTTGAGGAAAATTCCTAGGAATCGCTATAGGAGGGACTTTGCAGCCCTCATTAACACATGGACAAAGAGCAGACAACTGCGTTACAAGGGATTCAACTCACCACTGCTCTGTACTGTCATATCCATGTTGATGACAGTCCTGGCACCTGCTCAACTCCCCCTATAGAGTTTTGCAGTTACTTCCATAGGATGAATTTCAACACTACAGGAACATCTGAAAGGGCTAGAATATTTTCATGCAGGCCAGGCATGGCGGCTCACGCCTGTAATGCCAACATTTTGGGAGGCCTAGGTGGGTGGATCACCTGAGGTCAGGAGTTCAAGACCAGCCTGACCAATATGTTGAAACCCCATCTCTACTAAAAATTCAAAAATTAACTGGGTGTGGTGGCGCATGCCTGTAGTCCCAGCTACTCAGGAGGCTGAGACAGGAGTATTGCTTGAACCTGGGAGGCGAAGGTTGCAGTGAGCTGAGAATGCGCCACTGCACTGCAGCCTGGGCGACAGAGCAAGGCTCCGTCTCAAAAAATAATAATAATAATAAAATAAAATAAATAGAATATTTTCATGGATGTTTCCAAACCTATAAACTATTTTGCTATCAATTAAAACAAAAATATTCCTAATTAAAAACAATAAAAAGGACATCAGGGTTGGTTTTGTTAAGTTTCCAGAAGTATTTGCTGTGACAATGTTCCTCTGAAACAGGCTCGTTTTCTCAGATCTGCCTACACTTCCCAAATCACCTGCATGTTCCATGCTTTAAGGTAGGAACACTCAGAAAACATGCCACATGGGGAAATCAAACATTAGTATGGGGAAAGGTCAGTTTAGAATTACAGCTAAGTTCAAATGTTAATTTTCTGGAAGTGCATATTAGTCATTTGAAAGCACAAAATAACAGAAGGAAGGTCAGAGTTTTGATGAGGAAGTTAAATCATGCACGTCAGTAAGTTCTTTTCCTGCTCACAGAAGAGGGTGAGCAGCGAGTTGAAGCAGCCACTACAACTCTTGCATGTCGCGTGACTACACGGTAGGTCCCAGCTGAGCCGCAAGAGGCATCTCAGTGGGGGCTTTATCTCATATGCTTCTTGCTTACATCACTAAGTGGCTAAATGACTAGCACTTTTCTGCTCTGTGAGAAACATGCAGAAGAGTCAATCTACTTAAATTTTCGTTTTTCAGTTGCAGCTGGACAGAAATTCACTTTGCTGCAGGGTTGCTTTTTGCTAAATCCTAATATGATCACTGTGTGCCCTTATTTGAGTAATACTGTAAAACGGGAGAAAAGACAGGAGACCTTTAAAGAGGGGAAAGACCACTCTTCCCCATTGATGGTATAGGGCAGAGAGTAAGGACACAAAGAGCAAAATTCAAATTCCATTTTACAGGGCAGGAGCCCCTGTCAGTTTACAACTTTTTGGCACAGTCAGGGCAATATACTTGCTCCTCGTGGAAAACAAAGTGCTTGTTGGCCAGATTCACAGAGCATTTTTTGCAGTGGAAGCAGCAGTCGTGCCAGGATTGTCCTTCATAGGCCACCACACTGGAGCCTTTACCAAACCCAGTGATGGGGTGCTTGCATCCAGCACACTTCTTGGCCACAAAGTTCTTGTAGCAATCCACACAGTATTACTGGTCCTCCACAGTGGTGAAATGCTGCACAGCCAGCTTCTTAGAGCAGGTAACACATACAAAGCCCTCGGCATGCCAGGGCTCATCCTAGTAAGTGACTCCCCAAGATGCGATGGCCTTGTTGCACTTCACACAATGCTTAGCAAACTTGGTCTCATGGCAAGTCACACAGTAGAAGTCCTTCCCTTTAGAGAAGAAGCTTCCAGTCCCCATGACTTGCTTGCAGTTGCTACAGGTGAAGCGGTCTTTGTGCGAGATGGTCCCCTTGTACTCCATTTTTGATCTCCTGCCACAAAGGCCTTGAAGCACCCCTTACACTTGGGAGAGTCCTCCTGAGTGGCAAACTTGTTGCACAGGATCTTGTTGTCCTTGGCCACAAAGGTCTCATTGGCAAGGGGTGAAGGCACTTGGCACAGTGGAAGCAGGGGTCATGCCAGGAGCAGTTTTTATAGTGCACCTCCTTGGAGTCCACATGGATGGGCTTGCAGCATTCCACGCAGGTGTTGGCACAGAACCTGTCAAAGCATTTCAGGCAGCAGTGGTGGTCACCCTTCTGCACATACTTTTTCCTCTGCAAGGGGTCCCTGCAGTAGAGACAGTCAAAAACTTCTCTGCCATGGTGCCCACCTTATAGCTGGAGGGACCTCACTTTGGATGTGTGACAAACAGGATGTATTTGGCAAGGGCTGGATATGGTTGAAAACAACTTCCAACGTGCTGCCTGGGGATGCTCACCCGCACAGCTGGCGGTGGCGGAGGTGGCAGTGGCTGCAGACTGCCTCCTCTTTTAATATATGCATTGTATTCATTCTCTTTTGAAGTATTCCACAGATTCTCAGAATCAGTTCTTCATTACGAGCTGTTCAACAATTCATTCACTCAGTAGATATTTACCAAGAATCTATGTGCCAGGCCTGGTGCTACAGGCTAAGGATAAAAAGGGAACACCACAGGCGCTACCTTGGCAGAGCTTATGATCCAGTAGATTTGTTGATTAGAGCGTTTATTATAAGCAGGTATATTCGTGTGTGTGTGTGTGTGTGTGTGTGTGTGTGTGTGTGTATTTAGCTAACTCAAGTTGGAGGAGAAAGGGGTAAATACTAGATGACACTCAAGTCTTTTATCAGCCCATTCCCTGTAAGTCCCCTCTCAACATTCTAAGTTCTTTGTCATCTGAAAAGTATTCAGCAATCTCAGATGTCCTTCTTTTTGTGCTCCTTTTTGGGGAATAGCTAGGTTTCCACACATTTTTTTCCCCACAGGTGTACTCCTACATAGAGAAATAGCCTATTTCACTGCAGAAAGGGTGAGAAAGTTCCAAAAAAGGTAATAAACCAGCTGTTAACAGAACCTAAAAACCCCACTTCTTAACTGTACATCTTTCTGTCTGCCTCCTAAGAGTATGCCTTTGCCTTTGGAAACACAAAAAGAAAGAGAGTACGTCTCCCTTCTGGGGATCAGCAACCACTGCGGATGCTCCTGCACTGGAGGCCTCCGTGCTCATAACCATTATGGGTCCTGCCATTGAACTGTTCTTACAGAAAGTGCTCTTCACTGGGTACCTTGAACCAATGTCAAAACCAAGCCTGTGCCACTAATGTGTGACACTGGGGGCTGTGGGCTACAAGGGGCCCATGTATCTGTGTCAGGAGAGAGAGGCCCCATGCAAAGCAAAATGTATAATGAAGTCTGTTTAACGCAAAAGCTACCTAGGAAAATTCTCTCTGGAGCAAACGCCCAGAATTCCATCTGCAGCCTGACTAAAAGTACCTAGGAGAGAGAGTTGTGAAAGAGGAAGGAGAACAAAGAAGAAGGAGAATCAAGGGAGCTGTGACCCTAACTTATGGTCCAGCTTCTATCACCTGTGACAACAAAGCTAGGAAAACTATGCTACCTACTACCCTAAGACATCCATCTTTTAAACTGAGTCCAACCACCAACATGAAAAACAATACTGACTCACCCCTCCACCCATATCGTCCATTCTGGACCAGACCTTCTACCTTGGCTCACAGGAAAAGAGGAAAGTGTTGATGTGTGCCAAGTGGAGGAGAAGGGACTGTGCTTTGGACTCCCTCTTTCTAGTCACACCACCAGGGAAGATGCGTGCCCTCAGGAGACCACCTGGCAGATAGTCACCCATTTGGCTCCTGGTCCCTCCCCCTTTCCAGCCACTTTCTCCTGCTGAACCCATCTTGCAGTTCATCTCAATTAGGGCTCTGAGTTCTGTCTTTCCCAGACAAGCAAACTCACCCTAAAGAGTTTCGTCCAACGGGACCATCATTCAATTCTTGCAAGTCTCACTAGTCTCACTCTGTGGAGGGCTATTTCTCCCTGTCGTAATGACCAGCTTGACAGTGGATGTATCTTCATCCCATGTCCTGCTTCTTGACTCCGAATCCCTTAGGCCATCATATTCTAAATTCAGAGTACCTCACCTCCTAAGCATTTCCTGTAACAGTAAGATATCCATACTTTAAGTTATTCAATTTTCCTATAGTAATCATCTCAACCAGTCTCCTACTCACTGCCCCAAGGTCTCTAAGAATTTATGCAAATGACACTGGGGGACAAGGTCATAATCTCCCCTTTCCTCAAGGGCACAGGCCTCTTCAGACACACACTAGGATATGCTGTCTATGAGCTATATTTATAATATGGCATTGACATAGCCTTTCTCTTGCATCTGCACTCCATCCTGCTGCTTCTCTGGACTTATCTCAATCCTCAAATTCTCTGTTTTAAGCCTAAGTCTTTACTCCACACTGTTGCAAAGCTATTTCGTTAATTTAACTGGACACATCACACAATATCTACCATTAGCCTTGTGTTATAAATCAGAAGCCTGTTTATCTTCTAAGGTAGACTCTGTCATTAGCTGCTTTGGATCATAGACTAAAAATAACATTCAACTGCTCTCTGAACCCTGCAAAGTGTAAAAACTAGAAATGTCTTTTTTTATATGGGCCAGGCTGATAACTTGCTAAAATGTCAACCTGTTCTTTGACATTTGTGTGAGTAATCCAACAGGTTCTGTGCAGGAAGCACAGTATTTGCTAGAGTTATTTCAAGTACAGTACAGCACTTTGCTTTGATAATAGAACTCAGCTGCAGTCTTCTTTCACCTGTAAAACAGAGATTACAAGTGTTTACAGAAAGCGCTATTTGACAAATAATAAATGAGAACAGTTTCCTGATATTTTCAGGACTTCAATCACCATCCTGTAGTACAGCAACATTTTCTTTTCAGACACATATTTAGGTCCCCAAACACTGAATAAATAGAAATAGCTTCCTTCCAAACAGCAGAAGGAAAGTGTGTGTGTGTTTTTTTGTTTTGTGTGTGTGTGGTTTTTTGTTTTTTTTTACACAGAGTCTCACTCTGTCACCCAGGCTGGAGTGCAGTGGCGCTCACTGCAAGCTCCACCTCCCAGGCTCAAGAAATCCTCCCACCTCCCACCTCAGCCTCAAAAGTAGCTGGGACCACAGGTATGCACCACCATGGCCCAGCTAATTTTTTCATTTTTTTGTGGAGAAGGGGTTTCCCCATGTTACCCAGGCTGGTCTCAAAACCCTGGGCTCAAGTAATCCTCTCGCCTTGGCCTCCCAAAGTTCTGGGATTATAGGCATGAGCCCACTGCACCCAGTCAAGAACTTTTATTCATGGTAGTTTTTTCTTATGAATTAGGTGGTGATCGAGTGGTTAATTGTTAATGAGATTGGAGTTACTGTCATAGCCTAACAATGGACTTAGAATCCTTTAATATTGAGCTTTTCCTAAATGATCAGCTTAGCTGTTTGTGTTAACACCAGTGGTTTGTCACCAAAACCACTCATTTAATTGAGAAAGCAAATAAATAAATATTCACAGCACAGGGATCTGAATGCATCAGCCAACATCTGATTGTATAAGTCATACAGACATGAGAGGGTTTATCAGCAAATCCAAAAGACAATTCTAAATAGGACTAAAAGGCAACATTTTTAGTCCTGGGAGTGTAAGTCATGGGGAAAATGTCTTAATTCCAGGATTTATGACTGTTCTCATACCAGAGGCATTTAAAAAAATCATTATTTACCAGCCTTTATTTATACCCACCAACTCTTCAGGCAAACAACATCCACATTAGGTATTCTAAGTACTGCTTCCCTTACAGAGAATTTTGCAAAGTGAATGGTCTAATCAGGTTACTTCTTATGATTACTGTCACTGAAATACTGAAATCATAAATTAGGACTTTGTTTTTAAGAATTAGGATAATGGATAAGAATAAGAGCTTTTTTCTGCTTAGCAGTCTAGGGAAAAAACGCAAATAAATTTTTTTCTTTTTTTTTTTTTTTTTTTTGAGAGGGAGTCCCGCTCTGTCCCCCCAGGCTGGAGTGCAGTAGTGCGATCTCGGCTCACTGCAAGCTCTGCCTCCTGGGTTCATGCCATTCTCCTGCCTCAGCCTCCCAAGTAGCTGGGACTACAAGCGCCCGCCAACACGCCTGGCTAATTTTTGTATTTTTAGTAGAGACGGGGTTTCACCGTGTTAGCCAGGATGGTCTCAATCTCCTGACCTCGTGATCTGCCCGTCTCGGCCTCCCAGAGTGCTGGGATTACAGGCGTGACCCACCATGCCCGGCCCAAAAAACACAAATAAATATTTTTTTAAGAAAAAAAGAATAAGAGCTTTTTTAAAAAAAAAAAAAACCCTACATTTGTTAGTATATGAAAAAAGTGACTAAATCTGGGTGGATGCTATGAAATGCAATAATTTGTGTGAAAATTCACTTTCCATGAACATTAAAATCTTTTCTTTAAAAACGGTAGTTTGTTTTAGTTATCTTTGTTTCTTTGGATGGTGTATTAATTAGGATGTTCTAGAATGCAAATGACAAAATCCAATTCAAACTGACTTAAATCATAAAGGAAACATATTGGACCTAGTAATTAAAAAGTCTAGATGTCTGGCTTCAGGCAAGAGTTAATCTAGTGATTCAAATGCTGTCACCAAGGATCCAGTTTTCTCTTTGTGCTGCCTTCCTTTGACTTCATCTTCAGGTTCTATAGAAGTAGCTTCCAAGCAGCTTGAGGTCCTTCTCTCAGGATGGTAAAATGCCCAGTGCAGTCCAGACCTAACATTCTCAAGTCACACAGTAGAAAGGAAGAACATGTCTCTTCTAATAGATTCAAAGTCCTGGGAGTCACTCTGTCTCATTGACTCCTTTGACTCTTGTGCCCAATAACTGTGGCCAAGAGAGCTGAATACATGGATTGGTCCACCCCTGAAGCCTGAATCTTTAAAATCTTTTTAGCTGCGTAATCTTGTTTTTCTTTTTTTTTTTTTTTTTTTTTTTTTGAGACGGAGTCTCGCTCTGTCGCCCAGGCCGGACTGCGGACTGCAGTGGCGCAATCTCGGCTCACTGCAAGCTCCGCTTCCCGGGTTCACGCCATTCTCCTGCCTCAGCCTCCCGAGTAGCTGGGACTACAGGCGCCCGCCACCGCGCCCGGCTAATTTTTTTGTATTTTTAGTAGAGACGGGGTTTCACCTTGTTAGCCAGGAAGGTCTCGATCTCCTGACCTCATGATCCACCCGCCTCGGCCTCCCAAAGTGTTGTTTTTCATTTATAATATCTCATTATACCCTTTTTGGTTGTTATCCCCTTGAGATGAGCAACTATAACTTCTAAATTCCTTGCACTATTTCAAAGTGCTCAAAACAATGAATGCTCAACAAGTGGGATTGAGTGATCTAATAATTTAAGGTAATCACTCTGTTGTAATGATCATTACAGTCATTCTTTATCAACTGTTTTTTAGTATACCAGGGTACTTTGCAAAAAACGGTCACGTACCACTTAATGATATTTTGGTCAATGACAGACTGCATGAGACGTTAGTCTCATAAAACTATAATACTGTACTTTTACTGTCCCTTTTCTGTGTTTAGATACACAAATACTGCTGTTACAACTGCCTACAATATTTAGTTCAGTAACATATTATACAGGTTTATGACCTAGGAGCAACAGGCTGTAGCACACAGCCTAAGTGTGTAGTAGACCACACCATCTAGGTTTGTGTAAGTATACTATGGTGTGCACATAATGACGAAGTCACCCAAGAAGGCATTTCTCAACATCCCTGTTGTTAAGCAATGCATGAGTCTATTAGTATCACAGGATGATGAATGTTCTCCATGGCCCCTCCAGATCCTCTCTTCACCCTCTCCATCATGCTCAGTGCCCAAGAGGCTGACTTCAATAGACTGTTCAAATGGCTCCCTTCCCTCTAACTTCCACTCAAGGTCAGCCAATGGAACCACCAAGAGGAGTCTGAGGAGTGCAAGGAAACAGGAGAGGGAGTGTTGATTTCTTGGTCCCCTTCCTGCTTTCCCGGGCTGCTTTCCTCATGGAGGCCACAGCTCCTGTCAAGTAACCCTCTCCTGAAGCTACAGCTACATCTCTTCCCAAGTTGTAGATTCTGGGAAACCAGTTTTTCCCTTTGTCCTTTCAGGCCTAAGGATGAGAAGGCTCCCTGATATTGATAGTTCTCATTGGTTTCTCTTAATCCCTACATCTGTGTGTGTGGTCCTTCACTATCTCCTCAGTTACGTTATTTCAGTGTGCCATTTGTGTACTGCCAGGATCTTGACACACTATTACAAAACCCAATTCAAACTGGCCTAAATCATAAGTGGAATTTATTGAATGATGTAACCAAAAAATACAGACATCTGGTTTCAGGCCTCCCAAGGATCTAATCATCTCCCAAAGGTCCCACCTTTAAATACCATCCTCTTGGAGGTTAAGTTTCAACATACGAATTTTGAAGGGACAAATACATTTAAATCATAACATGTCTTCGTCAATTTTTTAAATTAAAAATAAGTTTTTTTAATTCTTTTTTTTGAAACATAGTCTCGCTCTGTCGCCCAGGCTGGAGTGCAGTGGCGCGATCTCGGCTCACTGCAAGCTCCACCTCCCGGGTTCACGCCATTCTCCTCCTGCCTCAGCCTCCCGAGTAGCTGGGACTACAGACGCCCGCCACCACGCCTGGCTAATTTTTTGTATTTTTTGTAGAGATGGCGTTTCACCGTGTTAGCCAGGATGGTTTCGATCTCCTGACCTCAAGATCCGCCCACCTCGGCCTCCCAAAGTGCTGGGATTACAGGCGTGAGCCACCGCGCCCGGCGAAGTTTTTAAATTCTAAAAGCAATGAATGTTCATTATACAGAATGTAGACATTTAAGATTAACAACAACAAAAAAAAGGAGATGGGAAAGAGTAGCCTTTAATTCCACTGTGGTAAGTATTTTGGTGTATATCCAATGCTCAATCATTCCTCTCTCTCCCCCTCTGGGATCTTACTGTAAATATTCTTTTAAGTATCTTTGCATCTCAGAACCTAACACAGGTTCTACTTGCATGAGTAAATGATATTTAGGAAAAAGATCAATGCTTGAATGTCCAAACCAGCTCTTTTGTCACATGCTGCTAAAGATAATATAGCAACTGCTACACCATTCTGTTCCCATGTGCCTGCCAAAGGAATACCATGTCAAGGACTTATCTGAACCATCAAGAAACCACAATACTGTACTAAGTTCAAGGGAATGCTCCTTAAAAGGAGAGGGACTTTACAAGCCCATTGGCAGGGCTTCACAAGTGAAGGAGCCCTTCACTTGGAGCTACCAGATCTAGATTTAAATTTCAACTGGGTCATTCTACTCATTTTACTTGTTTAATCCTCCATTTTCTAATCTGTGAGATGAAGACATCAACTTATGACCTATAAGATCCCTAGCAGTTAATGGTCTATGACATATATCTCTATCTATCCAAACACAAACATACGTGTGTGCGTGTATGTGTATGTGTGTGTTTGTGGTGTGTGTGAGTGTGTGTGTAAGAATGAAAAAAAGCAAGAACTATGCCTTAGGTGCTAGTATGACAAAATCTGAGTTTGTTTGCTTGTTTTCTAAAAAGCGAAGTCTTATAGGTAATCCAGCCAATATGTTTTTCATGCCTACACTTTCTGTGGCTAAGTTAGGAAAACCGAAAGCAGGAAACTCAACAAAGTACGACAAAAAAATAACTGGAAAACACTCCTCTGTGTGTGTGTGGCTTTTATTAGCTCTCAGTGAGATTCTCAAATGACTGTTGTAATTCTGTCTGAAGTTCCCCTTCTTGTTTCATGGCTTAATGCTTTGTTGTGTCATTTCTGAAACACTCCCCCATTTCCAACGTTACAAGCAGAGAACAGCTCTTCACTCACTTGTGAACAAGAAGTGTTGTAAGAGAACTTAACAAATGAAGCAAAAGAAATCATAATATCAAAGCAGGTTAAGAAAGGAAAATGAGAAGTGTCTGGAGGAAAGGGAGCATGAACTATCACCGCCTACCTTCCTTCCATCAAGCTCAGAGACGTTTTTAAACCTCACACCAATTCTTTGACAGCTTTTAAGAAATGAGATGCTTCCATTTTGATCTGAGTTATGCTGAGGTGCCTCTTCGCTCTGCCTAAGCAGAAGGTAGGTTAAGCTTGGTAGAGGTGAACCACAGGGAGCCATGCTTGGAAAACTCTGCTCCTGGGAAGTTTATCCATTCAAGTGCACCAAGGCTTTAGAACTCCCTACCCCTAGAATGTCTGCTTTTTCCAAATAATCAGAACACATTTGTTTATTCCCAGTACGGGTGATGTGTACCCAATTCTTATCCATTTCCTCCAGCTTGGGACATTTTGCCACTATGCAAGTACCAGGGCTGGCTGCAAGTGTTGTCTTTTACGCCTCAGGTCCAGACCAGTCCTGCTGTCCCAGCTTTCAATGTTATGGCCACCAAATGGGTGTGTGGCCCTCCTGTTCCTGTAGTCAGTGGAGACTGGGGAGTAATTTCTGCTTCCACCTTGGCTGGCACAGGAGTCCTCTCATCTTCAGCCACTGTGGCTGCTGCTCTTGCGTCGAATTTTTGTGGTTTTTTTAATTTAAATTTTATAGTTAAAAAAATTAGAGCATATGGTCACATGGCTCAAGAAGATATACTGTGAAAAATTTCTCTTCTGACTTTGTCCTCCTGCCACTAAATCCCCTCCTGCAACAAGCAAAAATGTACATATATTCTTTTTAACCTCTTTTTTTATTGCAAATGTTAACATACTACATTGGAAATTTTTCACCTAAAATACCTAGAGATTATTTCACAACAGTACTTAAAGAGCTTCCTCACTGTTTTAAAATGTTGTATGACATCTCATCATGTATGACTATCATGATTTATTTAACCAGTCTCATTTAGCCAGCTGATAGACTTTTTCAGGCTCTTTCCAAACTTTTTATTATGTATGGCATATACAATTTCATATCGGTACAGGCATATCTGTAGGACACATTCTTGCAAGTGGAATTCTGGGCCAAGGTGCTTATGTAATTAAAATTTTCACAGATGCTGCAAAATTGCATTGTCTGGAGGTTGCACCCATTTACACTCTTCCAGCAATATGAGTGACTCACACTCATACTGGGCTTCAGTTTACTTATGTAGGAACTTAACCTGCTCGAAGTCACTCCAGCCTAATGGTCTCCCAATTTAAAATTGTTTAACATAATATTAATGCCTAAGCCTCAATAGTACCCCCCCTCCTACTTGCTCAACTGCATGTAAGAGATCCAGTTTTTTATTATTATTATAATGAACAGAAATTTATTGGCTCACAGTTCTGGGGGCTGGGAAGTCCAAGGCCAAAGGGCTGTCATCTGGCAAGGGCCTTTTTCTGAGAGATCCAATGTTTAATAGTGTCCCTATTTCTATAAATTTGCTATAGACTTCAGGGATATTACATGTGCCTATGAGCCCGTCATTGTCATTATTTCCCATTCTGGTGAGCTGAACACATCCTCTGTGGCAGGTGGTTCCATAGAAGCATCACTCAGAACTGAAACAACTCCTGAGCCCATGGCTATCCCTGGGTCCTGGTGGAGTGGAAACTCAACAATGCCTAGAGCTACATCTAGTGTCAATGAGCTACAGTCCTGCAGCTGTGCTGGTAAAGCTGGAACTGAAATGTCCTTGAGACTACAGATCCAAACAGTTGACCTTACAAAGTGAAAAGGACAATACCCCATCTGGGTGACACTCAGGTGCAGCAGTACAGGGTCCCACAGTAAGGTTGTGTGGATCTAATGTATTAGACCATTTACTCTCACAGTTCCTTTAATTAATACGCTAAACAACTTTTGCCAAGGATCATACCTACTGCTAGAAGTCTGTGTTGAGGTAAATTCTACAGCAATAATCTAAAATCTCCACCCCATCTGAAGCCCATGCTCTATTTCTGGGTCTAACTTTCCAGGCTGGGCTCCTTCTTCTCTTACAGGGTGCTCCTTCCTCTTATGTCCCACACTGTTCTTTCCAAAACTCGTGCCCTCATGAGGACCACACTAGTCCATCAGACCATGTTTTATATGCTTTCACAGAGTTTCAAGTCTTTTTCTTGGAAAGCTGTGCACCCCTGGCATAAATCGGTGGATGCCAACAGAACCATGGTAGATGGATGTACAAAGGTCACCATGTTGACTCTCACTCACAAATCGCATCTAACTGATACTCTCTAGAGGATCAGGTCAAATTGATAATAAGTAAATGAGTAAATAAACTCTTCCCTACAGTAGTATCACAATAAATGTAGAAGGAATGACAGAAATAGAAAATCACAATTTGGTAAACACCACAGTAATAAATATGTCAGGCAGAGATAATTAATGGATACTAAAATTAATAGACAAAAGTATGATGAAAAACAGAATACTTACATAGTTTCAAAGTATCCCCTCATAAGATGCATATTAATTTCAAAGGAAAGAACAGTAACTTTACAGCAGTGAAACCTGCCAGATCCCATCTTAACTAAGTGATCAAAGTGCCTCATTACCAATGACAAGACACATCAACTACTTTCCTCCTGACAAGACACACTGAGAAGGGTACAATGTCACTTCTATGATATTCTTGACAAAACGTATAACCTGAATTAAATCATTGGGAAATAACAGACAAACATAAATTGAAGAACATTCTGCAAAATAATTGGCCAGTACTCTTCAAAGAGTCAAAGTTATGAAAGAGAAAAACTGAGGAACTGTCCCAGATTAAAGGAGACCAAGGAACCATGAAAACTAAATGCAACTGGTGAGCTTGGACTGGATCCTGAACAGAAAAAGTCCACTAATGGGACAACTGACAAAATCTGAATAAGGTCTGTAGATTACTTAGTAATACTAAGTTCATTTCCTGTTTCAAAAATGGTACTATAGTTACATAATATAATATTTGTAGAAGCTAGGTAAAAAGTATGTGAAAATTCTTCATATTAGTTTTTGCAACTTTCTCAATAAGTCTAAAAGCATTTCAAAAGGACAAGTTGGGAATAATAAAAATAAATTTTAAAAACTAAGACAGCAAAATTCACTTATTACAATATTGGTTTGTAGAGAGTGTAAAGATACATATTAATTACAAAAATTATATTCATGCTTGAATTTAAAACTGGACAAGTAAACTTATCCTTTGATTAGTCAAATGTTGGCTTATTCAGGCATTTCTTAAAAGCACTCTCTAAAATTTCAGCATTTATTTTATTATCAGAAGTTGAAGGTCAGTATAACAATTGTATGTGAAAATATTTCAGTAATCCTGGTTTGCCCTTGCAATAATCTGAAGACATCTCTGCTGGGGACTATTTTATTATGACAATCGAGCACTAAATACACTGACCTTCAGATTGTCAGTTACTGGGTGAAAATGGATAGAAGATTTTCCATTTGGCAGATGAAAAATCAAGACCCCCAAATCCCTTTCCTTAGGAGGTACAGCTTAGGCAAGAAACCTATTATATTTTTTGCTGTTTGCCTAAAATATAGCAATATACCACTTTAAATGTAGTGATTTCATTTACCAGGGGAAGGAAAAAAACTGTATAACCTAGAGGCAATATGTAGAATAAAAAAAAATGATAGAATAATTGGAGCCACAGGAAGCGGAACATTTCTTACATGACACGGAAGATTATAAAGTGTTATCGTTTAGTAGTTTCTTATATAAATACTCAAGGAAAAATAATTGAATAACTAGTAGCCTTAATTTAGGGGTGGACCCATAATTACTACTTATAACAACCTCTGCCAAATTATTTAAATATTTACCTAAAAGGTAAAATATCCAGTCTGTAAGGTTTGCTGGCCTATTGTTCTTTTCATTTCAGAGACATCCACATTATTAAACATCAGCTGGACAACAGCACATGAGTACAAGAGTTGTCAGAAAATCATCTGAGGCCAGTGTAAGAAGGAATAGGTTTGAGGATTTTTTCCCAATCGGCAAGTGAGGTCCAGGTCTGGAAGTCTTAGTTTCCTTGGCCCTCATAACTTCCCTGGATTCTGTGCTGAGTCTTCCTTCTTGACCTTTGCCATCCCACTCCCCTTTCCATCTTCTTTTTTTATTTTCAAGACAGGATCTCTCTATCATCCAGGCTGGAGTGCACTGGCATGATCATAGCTTGAACTCCTAGGCTCAACCAAGATCCTCCCACTTCAACCTCCCAAGTAGCTGGGATTACAGGCATGAACCATCATGCCTGTCCATCTTAATAGATGGGCTTGCACAAGAAACAAAGTCTGGGTATACTAACAACTTATGAGGTTTAGCTGCCTTTACTTGCCCAAGAGGTTTTCATTTTGGAGATTTAGCTTTGCCAAACCCTATACTTCCTCTCAAATTGCTGGATTGGAGATAGGTTGAGAGAGTGGATGTTTACATGTCTCTGTTCTCAGGTAAGTCTACACTTACAAGAAACTGGGCAAATGACTGATTCCCAGAATCTCTCTTCTTGCACAGGGAAGGGCTTCCTCAACCAAATCTAGGGAAGCTTCTTGTCAAATTGGTTGTCTCTAAATTCCACAGAGGACTATATAGAAAATAGAGTCTTTGGGATATGATGAAGACCTCTCAGTAGAATTTTGTCTGCCTCATAAATATCTTTCCCTCACTTACTAAAGCTCCAGAGGACAAAGATTATGCCATTTTCATCATTTATTATTCACTCCATCAACAATTTATTTACTCTGAGCCAGACCCTGGACTAGACATTGAGAACAGAAAACTAAAACATAGTACCTGCCCTTGAAAGGTTCACAGTCTGGCAGAAAGAAAAACAACTTATGATGTCAATTATATGTACTATAGCAGTGATTTTTACAAAATGTTGTAGGAGCCCAGAAAAAGGGTCAATTGAGTTTGCTGAAGAAATAATTCAGAGAAGCTTCCACTGTGGGGGTAACATGTTACCTGACCCTTGAAGGATAGGCCAGGTGGGAAGGAGAAGAAAAAAAAAAAAAAAGAAGAAGAAGAAAACACGTAGGTGTGGAAGCATAAATGGTGAGGTAGAGGAGTGACGGGAGAAGAGTGGTCTCACAGTTGTTCTTTAGGAAGGTGAAAAGGTAGGAGTGAAGTGGTTACCTTAAGAAAGAAGACAGTGATATTAGATATGGTCAACTGGCACACAGCAAAAGATGGAAAGCTAGTCTTCATTTCCCAGACTCCCTCAACTAGAGTTCCAGTTCTAATTAGATGCACTGGTAGAATATCAGAAGGACAAATGTGACAAGGAGGCCATCTTCCTGCTGCTGCTGCCCAGCAAGGTCATGGAGATGGTTTTTCTACAGCATCACTCTAGCATGCAGTCTTGATCTTTGTGAGAGTAGGAGGCAACAGCAGCAGTGCTGGCAAGAACTTTCTGATCCTGGCTTCCTGGCAATTGGATCACAGCTCTCCTAGTAGTCTACTGAACACAGTGTTGTCACAGTGGCCTCCTGGCTCCCCAAAGGTAGAGGTTCCCCCGGCTGGTTAGTCCTGTAGGGTCTGGCAGTTATTCAGGCAGGACCAACATGGCACATGGTCCTTCACACTTTCAATGATTTTGGAAGCATTTAATTCTCCTAATTAAGTATCTTTCTAACTAAAAAACTACATTAATTTCCCTTTTGCATTGAACCTTGACGAAGCAAATGTAAGGGGAAACCATGAGAACTCCATATGTGAATGAGAATGATACTGCTACCTTTTCTGTTCAAAATGGCAAAATAATTACCATTTTAATTAAGAAGATGAAGTGATTATTTTTATATATTCTTAGTCTAGTATTAGCAAGTTAAAATTTGTTACACTTTTTCAAAACAGTATTTGTGTTTGTTTTTCTATATACTTACTGTCTTATTTATGCCATTTTTTTTTCTTAAGAGACGAAGTTTTGCTTTGTCCCCCAGGCTGGAGTGCAGCGACACAAACACAGCTCACTGCAGCCTCGAACTCCTGGGGTCAAACAATCCTCCCACCTCAGCCTCCCTGTAGCTGGGACTACAGGCACATGCCACCATGCCTGGCTAAATTTATGCCATTTCTTGAGTAGAAGTATCAACTTATTTTAAAATATTAATTTGCCTCTTAAATAATATTAGATTCATTGCATTTTATATTAGAGCTATTTTATATTAAATTTATTTTTTCTTTGTGATAACATTAAATCACTAACATTATTAACTACATATTCTAAACTGCTTTTATACAAACGACATCAAAAAAAGGTCTGTTATTTGCTCTAGTTCCCTAGAATTTTCTCTTTGATTTTGTCACATATATATGTTTAACATATAAAATGGACCCAGAGAAAGTATTATTTAGAACAAAAAACTAAACCTATCAGCTCCCAGTTTGCATAAGTCTGATCAATAGGAATACATTTCTATATTATTCCCTTCCACTTGCTGAGATGGAAGTTCCCAGGAAACTGAATTTTTTCAAGTTCCTACCTATTCATCAGTCCTCCAGAGAGAGAGATCTAGATTGGAGAATGCTTTGTTTAGCACAACATGGTAATGAATTTCTTAATTTACAAAAACATGTCCAAAGGAATCCAATAGAGAGTAAAGAGCCCAATTTGTCTACTGTATAAAGCAAGGAAAATTCTGAATTTCAGAGACAACCCTAGGGAGAAGTGACAGAGCCCAGGGGCAAAGAGAAGAGATTCAGAAGGGTGGGAAGTATTCTAGAGTGAGTGAAGAAAAGTAGGCAGGTAGTCAGGAGCAGTGGGAAAGGACATGAGGAGGGCCTACAGGGATGGCCAGGGAACTCCTAGATATCAATACCTAATACTCCTTATTTAAGTTGTGGGCTCTATGTTATGGATTAAAGCATATAAAGAGATAGGAAAGCCATTAGCATTCTAACATTGGAAGGAAGAGTGGAAGAGGAGAACCCAGCAAGAAAGATTGAGAAGAAAGGATTAGAGAGGTGGGATGAAAAGCAGAAGTCTGTGAGACATCCTGGAGGGTGGTGGGAGGCAAGTGATCCCTCAGGTTCTTGGACTTAAATACCATCTATGCACTGATAACTCTGTAGGGGAAGAAAAACATTTCCCTATCCTGTTAGGTTCTGTACCTGAGGCCTATGCATTAAACTGACAAAAGACAGATTAACAGAAGAAAAGTGTACCAATTTTATTTGATGTTAATATTTTTACCATTCATGAGGGCTTCATGGAAAAGAAGTGAAAAATCAAAGAAGTGGTTAGACTTCGGGGCTTATATGCCATCTTAACAAAGGGTGATAAATTGAAGAGAAGTAACTAGATAAAGAAAAGGGGGTTTGGGTTTATACAGGTGGTAAACTGTGAGAAGGTAAAAATATAGGGGAAACTAATGGTAGATAAGGATTATAGTAAGGTTTCTTTGTGCAGACTCATCTTGGTGCTGTCTCCACTTCTGGTGGTAAGGGTTGTTTTCCTTGTCTCGGTATGGGAGAAGAATGGGGACACCTTTGTGAGAATTTATGCTCTTTTAGGCAGATAAGGACAGAGAGCTCTTGCTGTGTCTGATTTTCTCATTTGCCTTCAGGTCAAAATTATCCTTATGCCAAAGTGGCATATTTGGGGGGGCAACATATTCTGATTCCATTCAACTCCCAAATTTATACCTCCAGCCAAGACTTCTCCCTGAAATCTGCTTCTCATATAGGTGGCTGTGCAATCCATATTTCCTCTTGGATGTCCATTAGGCTTCTTCACATTAACACACCAAAAACTAAATTTCTATATTTTCATGCCAAACTTCTTTCACTCTTATATTTCTCATTTTAGTAAGTTACAATTCCATTCTTCTGGTTGGTCAAACCAAAAATCTTGAAGTTATCCTTGATTCCTCTCTTTCCCTCATATTCAGAATCTCATTGACTCTACCTTCAAAATATAACCAGAATCCAAGATGTCCCACTGCCTCTGTAGCAAACACCCAAGTCTAAGCCACCATCATCTCTCACCTGTTTGCTGCAATAACCTATGTCCCCACTTCTATCCCTGTATCTCCTCTCACAGTCTATTCACAACACAGCAATCACGGTCCTTTCTAAACAGAAGCCATTTTATGTCATTCTTCTAACCCTAATCCATCGTGGCACACCCTCTGAAGCCCTCATTTTACTCAGAGTGAAAGCCAAAGTCATTAAATGGCCTACACAATCTAGCCCCATTTCCCTCTGATCTTATCACCTACTCCTCTTCCTCTATTGAATCTGCTTTAGCCACTGACCTCCATACTATTACTCAAACACACCTGCACTCTCCCACCTCTGAACTTTTGTAAATGCTGTTCACTCTACCTTAAGTATGGTTTCCTAGGACACCCACTGGCCTTGCTCCTTCTTCTTCTTCATGCCGTTTTTGGTCAAAGTGGATCTCCTCAAAGAGGACTGCCCTGACCATTTAAGTTCCAATTACATCCTCCTTCCCACTGCAAGCAGTCCCTTTACCCTGCTTTGTTTCTATTGTAAGGCTTTTAACATACAGTGGGCCCTCCCTATCCAAGGGTCCACATCTGCTGATTCAACCAATTGAAAATACTTGGGAAAGAAAATTAACAGAAAATAACAATACCACAATAAAAATAATACAAATTTTAAAGTTACATAGTATAAAAACTATTTACATAGCATTTACATTGTACTAGGTACTATAAGTAATCTAGAGATGATATAAAGTATATGGGAGAATGTGCATAGGTTATATGCAAATACTGTATCACTTTTTATGAGGAACTTAAGCATCTGCAGATTTAAGCATCTAAAATCTAGAACTAATCCTGATTTACTCACTGTCATTCACTGTTACAGATTTTTGACAGGGGTCCTGCAATTAATCCCCAGCCAATACTGATGGACGACTGTACCATATAATTTGCCTTCTTGTGTTTTACAGTCTGTTCTCTTCTTCCCAAAATATAAGCTCCACAAGAGCAGGATGTTTGCCTCTTGAACACTAGTATATCCTCAGTGTCTAGAACAAGGACTGGCACATAATAAGCCCTCAATAAACATTTGTTTAATGAATGAATAAATATAACTCATTTCCTCAAAAATCTCCAGTAAAGTCTCTTGTAACTAATAGTTTTGCTTTGGCAAAAGAAAGAACAGGGGCCAGGTGCAGTGGCTCATGCCTGTAGTCACAGCACTTTGAGAAGCTAAGGCAGGCAGACTGCTTGAGCCCAGGAGTTAGAAACCAGCCTGGGCAACATGGAGAAACCTGTCTTTACAAAAAATTAAAAAATTTAGTTGGGTGTGGTGGCACGACCTGTGGTCCCAGCTATTCAGGAGGCTGAGGTGGGAGAATCCCTTGAGCCCAGGAGGCGGAGGTTGCAGTGAGCCGAGATCGCACCACTGCACTCCTACCTAGGCGACAGAGCAAGACCCTGTCTTCAACAACAACAACAATAACAAAAAATACTCCTCGTTTGGGAGAGAAATAACTGTCAAATAATAAGAGTAAAATTGGAAATTCAAAAGTAAGTTGGAACTAGAAGTGGCTAGGGGAAACTCCTTACTGCCACCATCAATAATATAGATGGTGTGCTGGGAAAAGGATTTGAGCTATTTTTATATAAATATTTTTATATAAATATTAAATGGAAAGGAGACCCAGAAATTTGACCCATAAATCTGAGGTTATATGTGTGAACATTAGCCATCATTCATGCTGCTACACACAACAGGGAGTCATGGAAGGAAGAAGGTCTGGAGTGTAAAGAGCATAGAAGTGAGGAGAACAATTAAAAGGCCATTGCAATACTAGTTCACGTAGGTGATGATAAGGACTTGAACAAGGCAATGGTAATGGGAATGATAAGGGAGGGAAGAATTCCAAATATCTCAGCTGTAGAATCAACAGGATTGGTGACTGACTGGCAGAAAGGCATGGTTGGGATGCATCCAAGGTTTCTAGCATGAGTAATTGAGTGAACAACGATGTAGTTATTAGATTTTTACAGTAAAAGGGGCAGGTTTTGCTGGGGAAATGGTGATTTTTAGTTGGACATCCAGTGGAAACATCCAGAAGAAATCTGGAATTAAACATGAATGCAGTATTTTGGAATTAATCTGTAAACAGAATGCACAAATAGAAGAGACAAGAGGAAGGTGAACATATAAAAACGGTGGCCAGGAACATGTGAGAATTGGGTAAAAGGAGAGAAGTCAACGAGAAATCAGAAAGAAGTTGATATACATGCCAAAGAAGGAAAAGAAGTCAAGAAGAACAGTCAATATTGTCAAATACTGAGTAAGATGCCAGCTGAGAGAAGGTATTGGGTTTGACAAAATAATTGTTACTGGATGGTGGAGGTAGAAACCAAATTGTTGTAATCTAAGGAGTGAATGACAGAACAAGAGGACACTAAATTAAAGCTCTGCTGATGAAGAAAATAGTAAGGCAGTAACTTGAGGATGAGTCATTGTCTATAAAGGATTTTTATTCCCCACCATAGTCCTAACCTAACATTTGACATCTATCTAGTAGGCACTCAATACCTACTGAATGCAATAATATTTTCATTTATAGACCAGGTCTCCTATAAAATAGTCCAGTGTTTATGTCCACATAAAACAGCACAAAACAGATTCATCATTCTGGGTGGGTAGAGGGATTGAAGGAAATAAAGACATTTCATATTCTATATTATGTTTTGGGTTAATTGGCAAGAATAATTACTTCTTTCTCACCCCATCCCTGACTATACACACACCCAAATTATAGATTATAGAGGAGAAAGGAATTAAATGACTCCTGAGACCAGAACTGCATAGTCCAAAAAAAAAAAAAAAATTCAGCAATCTTACTTTATTAAAAAATTAGGCATCAAGATGCTGCAATTTGCCTTACTTACATATTTAATTGCTCTTAGGTTAGATATATAATATGGGAAACCTGGAAAAAAATTTTAATGGTATAATAAACGCTTACAACCTAACATTAAGTGAAAAAAGCAGCTGCCTTATTGCATATGATCTCAATTTGGGAAACAGGAAAAAATATAAATACAAACACACATGCACACACACACACAAAGTCAGAATACTATAAGAAAATAAACTGAACGGTCACAGTGGCTCACGCCTGTAGTTCCAGTTACTCAGGAGACAGAGACAGGTGGATCGTTTTGAGCCCAGGAGTTCAAGACCCGCCCGGGCAACATAAGGAAACTCCATCTCCACACAAAAAAAGTAAAAATTAGCCAGGTGTGGTGGCTCATGCCTGTAGTTCCAGCTACTCAGGAGGCTGAGGAGGGAGATCAGTTGAGACGAGGAGTTCGGTGATGCAGTGAGCCGAGACTGCGCCACTGCACTCCAGCTTGGGCAATATAGAGCGAAACTCAGCATCAAAAAAAAAAGAACATCTTTCTATTCTGAATTTTCCCAATTTTCTACAATTAAAAACGCTTTAAAGATCTCTATAAAGTCAGTCAAGGGAATTTCTATCTAAGCACTTACCAGCAATTTGAGCTCCTTCTCTTTTGGTCTAGGTGGCTCTAAAATAACAATAAAGGCTACAGTGATTGAAATTCACCAGACTTGAAATAGACTGCAGCCTTCTTCCTTCCCACCTTCTTAGAATCTTTGTCCTATTCATCTTCCTTACGCTTCCCCGGGTTCTCTTACTTCTGGATTCTAACAGTGAGTTGTGAGAAGCAACGCGGAAAACGGAATGGAGACTCCAGCTTGTTTTAAACGAGCTGTATTACCCCGCACAGTGCAGGAGAAAAGATAATTGGCTCAGGTCTCGGCTCTGCCATCTACCACCTGTGGAGCCTTAGATAAGTCAGTTCTTATCTCTGTCACTCAACGGTCTCGGTCTTGTCATCTTTTACATGGAATGTCATGAAATATACAGTACATTGCAGGAACTGCCTCAGGTAAAGACTTCTAGGGTTCAGTAGGTCTCAGTCGATCCCTCTGAGAAAGGCCGCACCCTAAATGCACAGACTCTGACTCTAAGGGGATGGGGTCGGGGAATCTGCATTTTAGTAGCTTCTCAGGTGATTCAGATGCTCAGTCAGGATTGAGAAACCAGGACTCTTCCCAGCCCTCCTGTTCTCTGATCCACTTCTCTGCTTCCTCCACGTCCTAACGATTCTCCAGTTCCCGCACAGCAGGAGCGGAGGGAAGAGGGGAGAGAAGGCACCGCTAAGGACCGCTGGCCCCGCCAGGCGGCCGACCTCCCCATTCCAGGGGCGCCAGCCGGCGGATTACATAACGGGCCTCGGGGCGCGTTCTCGCGAGGTTTCCACCGCCCCCTCCTCGCTCCACGTCAGAGGGAACCGGGCGGAGCGGCCAACATGGCGGAACGCAGGAGACACAAGAAGCGGATCCAGGTAGCAAAGCCGAGCTCTGGGCAGGGGGCTTCGGCGCGCTGGATAGTGGAAGGGGCGGGGAAAGCCCCCTAAAAGGGCGAGCGAAAGCAAGGGCGAGGTGGGGTGGGGTGGGGTGGGGTTCCGCCGCGAGGCAGCTGGCTGCAGGCTGCGCGTTGTGAGGGGCCTGAGGGGGGGCGGTGTTGGCGACGGCGGAGACAGAGACGGAGGTGGTGGTGGAGCAGCAGGGGAAGGAAGGAGGCGCCGCGCTCAGAATCCGGCTGCGGAGGCGCGGCTGTGGGCCTGGAGTTCCTGTGGTCGCGCTGTCCCGGGCCTGAGCTGGAAGGTCAGCCTCCCCTGGGGCGCAGACGCTGACCCTTCCCGGGGCTCCTCCCCTCCCTTCACCCCATCCTCTGGCCTTAGCTGGCCTGAAATTAAGGCCACGGTAATAGGGGTAGCAGGAGGCGGCGGACTGACCTAAAGCAGCTGGTTCTTTGTGCGCATAGACCGTAAGGGGGAATGATCTGGACTTGGTCAGCTGCCTCGGGGCCTAGGCAGGGATCTGCTCATCCAGATGTTCAGTTGCGTTGCCCTTCTTTCCCTTCAATATTATTAACTTAATAGTCCACTTGAAGCTTGCCGGCTTTTTTCCGGGCGACGTGGTGTAAACAACCACAACCTCGTTGGTGCTGCAACGAGCTGGTGGAGCCCAGAAACCTTTCACATGCCAGTGTGTCATCCTCGTAGTAACGTACATAACATCTCCCCCTAATTCCACATGCGTGTCATTTGTGCATTTCTTCCTTGCGATTTTCCCTGGTTCTTGTTCTTTGCCAAGAGGATTAATTATGTAGAACATCTTGGACTCAGGATATTTATTAGTCGTCTCATCAGCTGATGTGCTGAGAAACCTTCATAAGCCCTCAAATTGATCACATGTAGTAAATTGTTACTATAATCATAAATTGTTACATTCATCATTGCCTTTCTGTTCCTTACTATTTCATTGCTTAGAATGATTTTTTCTTTCTTCCATTTTATCCCTTCTTTTTTTTTTTAAGTTTATCGATTTATTGGCGTACAATACAGATGTTTTGAGCTATGCAAGTTAAAATTCTTCTGTAAACTTTTTAAGTGCTGTGAAAAAGACACACATGATCAGTAAATTTGGAATTTTGGAATTTGGCAGAAATAAAGTAGTTCCGAACAGGGTGCAGAAGGGAATTAGAAAGAGGCAGATTTCGAGTTCAGACAGATAAGACTAGGTCTTAAGATCAGTAGAAGTTTCTAATTATACTGTTCTTAATCTTTCAAGAGTTAGTGTTATTCCTCTGACGTGGGTATACAGTATTTTATTAGATTGTATATTGAAATTGTCTGTCAGATTTGTACTTACAGAACTCCTTAGATTTACACTTGACAGTACAATTTTATGCCCTTCAATACACATTGTTTTACAATTCCAGTTGCTCTTTAATATTGTTGTAAGGGCTATATAATTCACCTTTTGAATAGCTGCTCTTATTTAGTTGTGATCTTATATTAAACAGAGGCTGTGGAGTAATGTGACAGTGGCAGAGAGCTAAAACTTGAGCCAAACTGCCTGTTTGTACCCCACCTCCACCAATTATTGGCTGAGTAACTTTGAGCAAGTTAATTTTTACCTCCCTGTCTGCATCGGTAAGAAAACATATTTACCTCAAAAAAAAAAAAAGCAAGAAAAAAGAAAAACTTTAAGATTGCTGTGAAAATAATAGGTGAGTCAACTTATTTATTAAAAGTTATTAAAAGTGTTTGGCACGCAGCCCCTCCCTTCTATTCTACTCCTTACCCAGGATGAAGGATTTAGATTGGATTGTTATTTTATTTTTTGTTAACTACTCTTTGATATGCTGAAGAAAGATTAACAACCCTCTATTCAGTAAACTATTAGGTTGGGAGTTATGTAGAGTATAGCTGTTTACTTTCTATTATTTGAGGATTGATTATTAAAATCTACTGGGCATACTGCAAAATTAAGTGACATTTATTTTTCTGTCCTTGAAATTTTCTACATGGCTGTATAAAATGTTTGTGAGAGATCTTAGAGTACTACTTTCATGCAGCCTAACACACTTATGAAAATATACTAGCCTAGAAAGTACCTCAGTTTTATCATTCCAGATAATCAGAAACTATAATACATCACTTGTGATAAAAAGATCAAATGTAATGAAAAGTTCAGAGTTTAACTTACAAAAAAGATCCTGTTGTAGAATTTTTAGGCAAAAGGTCTGTAATACCAACTGAGTTTCTGTCATTTGTTGCTTGATGTTTTATGTTTAGAAAGATGGTTAATAGATTCAGTGATCTTTAATTATACTTTGCACATTGGGGAGAAATGTTTGATACAAACAAATAAGTTCAGGGTTAAAAAAAAAAGTAGCTAATTTGCTTTTTCTTTGTAATTCAGTATAATTTCAGATTCTCGTGTCCCATCGAAGTTTCTAGCAAGAGGACTGTTGTCACATTTCCTTCTTGGACTCATTACTGGTCACTGAAAACCAGAAGTGAGCTACATGTACTCATACAGTAACTACATATAGATTAACAATGTGCTGCTGCATAGTAGAAGTTGATTTACAATCCTGGTATCAAGAAATTTTAGAGTTTAAAAGGATCTAGTAGGGTTTGTTTGGAAGCCTTTTTCATAAATTCAGTCTTAACATGAAAGCAGAGTGGTGATCCTACAGCTGACTGATCTCACCCAACACCCTCGTTTTTCAGATAAACTGAGGTCCAGTGAGGTTTTGTGACTTAATCCAGGATCGTCAATCAAGATAGTAAAACCAGATTTAGACCAGGTCTTCTGATTCCCAACTGAATACTCTTTCTGTCTCACAATAGATAAAAAATAAGTTGCTTTGAAATACTTTAATCCTGACTTCTTTATTATTGAATTATGCAACGTAAAGACTTAACATGACTTGTCCTTGCTAAAGAGAATCATCCCATTCAGTATTCTGCTTAATGTCCAGTTGAGTTTTGAGACATTTAAATGGCTAATTCTTAGAACTTTTATAACCCTCCATTAGTTATTTTTGTTGCACCCATCTGTCTTCCTGGCAAGCAATAAAACCTTGACATATCATGGGCTTATGTGCTTAATTTCAGGACAGGGAAGAAAAGAGAAAATTTGGGACTATATAGCCAGACTATACAGGTCTAATTTCTGACTCTGAATATTCTGAAGAGAAAGAACTCAGGAAGCCAGTCCTAAATCAGAAAACTACCCCTCAAAGGCTTAATGGAGGGTTTTGCAGTTTAGCAAACCCATTGCTAAGGAAAGAATACAATAGAAGGGAGTTGGAGCTATTACAGAAGGGCACTGCTGTTGTCTAGATACTCTTGTATAGTGTTATTTGTGTAGCACATATTGTTACTAATGATTAAGGTCCCCTCCAGCTTTCAGATCTTATTGTTAAACTACTATTTGCATTTTTCACAAATATTTTATACTGCTTGAACCAAGCCTTTTTCTTTTTTGCTCAGTTCATGGTTGACAGATCAACTAAGCTAATTTTTATTGGATGTAGTAATTTTTAAAAGTTCCTCTGTATCACAAATTCTGTAAGATTGGTGCCTGTGACATACTTACTCTTGATTTTTTTCTCAAAAAGGTTAAATATTGGCTAAAATAACTTAGAAATGTCAAACTCTATCTTATTATAGTATTTGAGTGTCGGTGTATTCTAAAGTAAAAAACAGTATTTATTAAAGAATTTTATAAGAGTATTCTAACCAAACTTCCAATTTAAATAATTTTGTATTTTAAGTTACAGCACCCAGTGTATTGGTGTTGGGTGCAAAGAAAGGAAAGGCAGTCCAGCCTAAATTTATTGGCTCTTAGCTTCCTCATTGTAAGACAGTTGTGTTCATTCATTGAACTAAGAAGTTCTCTCCATTTGTTTGAAGATTGATAGGTTGGTTTCTCTTTATTAGTGGGTGCTACTATTCCCAAAAGGCCTTCACTTTGTTAGAAGTCTTCTAGGAAAATTATAAAAATATTCTGTTTACATCAAAAGAGAACAAAGAGGGGGAGGTACTGTAGTCCAATGTATAAACAAAAAGAAGGTAAAACTTTTATACCTTCTTATGCTGCATCAGGAGAACAGTGAAAGTGAAGACTGCATGCACGTTGGATGTGGTGGCTTGTGCTTGTAATCCCAACTATCTGTTCATGTTCTCATGGTACTTTTTTTTTTTTTTTTTAAAGAGACAAGGTCTCACTGTGGTGCCCAGGCTGGAATGCAGTGATGGCATCATAGCTCACTAGAGACTCAAACTCCTGGTCTCAAGTGATCCTCTGGCCACAACCTCCCAACTAGCTGGGACTACAAGTGTGTGCACCACCTCACCTAGCTAATTTTTTTTAATTTTTTGTAGAGATGGAGTATCAGAAAGTTACCTAGGCTGGTCTTAAACTCCTGGTCTCATGCGATCCACCTCGGCCTCCCAAAGTGGTGGGGATTACAGGGATGAGCCACTGAGCCCTGCCTCTCATGGTACTCTTCTACAGCAATCTATCTTTCTGGCTTCAACGCCAAAGCAATGGCACAAATTATATTGTTGCATTGAAGGCAGTCTACAATATGGATAAGTTATTATAAGTTAATAAATTGCAATACTTTAAGAAAGTATCAGTAAACAAGTTAATTCTGTGTCTAGTTGGGAGAGATTATCCAAGTCCGTGTTTTCTGGTCTCTTCCTTTCATTGCCTCTTGATAGTGCCTTTACAAAGGACAGGGTGCAGTTTTAGAAGAGTTTGGTGAACTTGAAATTAATTGTTAGAATGAGATTTTTAAATTTTGTGCATACATATCAGGTTCCCTATTGCGTAATATGTAATCAGCTTCTCAATTTTTTATGTACCCTAATATTTAATCAGGTTTTACATGTGATGCCTCTATCAGCAGTCAGTAGATTAGTATATTTATGTCTGTATTCAGGAATGGTATAACTGAGTGTTAGTATGAGTATATTTGTATCATGCCTAAATTTGATATGGTCATTCTCTACAATTACTTTCCTTCCACATTTCCTTTCTGTTGATAAAGTTGGAAATCTGACATCTTTACCTAGCCATTTTATTTATCCTTTATCATTGAGTTCTATGTGTTCTACATTTGAAATGTTTCAGATATCTAAATTTCTTTCCCATTTATAGTCCAGTATCACACTACAATTTACTTGAATATTACAGTAGTCTTCCATCCATTTCCCTGCCTTATGCATTTTTTTCCAGTTCATCCTACACACAGCCACCAAAATCATGTCTAAATCATTTTTCTAGTTATGTCCTATTAAGAAACTACTAGTGGTCTTTCTGCTGCTTACAGGGTAAAGTAGAAATTTCCTTGCCTACCTTGATGACTATTCTGCTTTTACACACTTAATCTCCCAGTACTTCCTAGCTTGTCTCTACTAGAGCCAAATTTTGTGTCATTCTCAGCCACAATATTTATGGCTTTTCAGTCAGTTTACCCAAAACTTGTTCATCTTTCAAACTTTATCTTCCTCTTCCAGTGTTCCCATCCACATTGATAATCTCACTCCTAATTTGGGTGCTTTCACTTTGTTGCCAAGGCTGGAGTGCAGTGGCATGATCTTGGTTCACTGCAGCCTCAACCTACCAGGGCTCAGGTGGTCTTCCTACCTCAGCCTCCTGAGTAGCTGGAACTACACATGTGTAGCACCTTTTTCTATCTTTTTTTTTTTTTTTTTTTTATGTAGAGAAGGAGTTTCACCATGTTGCCCAGGCTGGTCTCAAGCCTGGTTTCCTGGGCTCAAGCAGTCTGCCTGCCTCAGCCACCCAAAGTACTGGGATTACAGGCATGAGCCACCCAACCCATCCTACTCTGTGTATTTCAAAAATATTTTTTCTGCCCCTCTTTTTGGGAAATAATAATTACTGCTTCTAACAGTTATGTAACAGAGTGTACATATCATGCCTTACAAATCTTTGCTGTTAACTGTAGCATCCAAAGATGATAGGGTGAGTACTCTGTAAGTCTGGAAGAACAGGTCACATTTATTCAGACTTCTCCCCCACAATTTTTAATCAAGCACCTCCCAGTAACAAGTTATTTAATTAGATCGATTTTAAGTTGACAACAGATGTATCAGATGAGGAAAAAATTGAGCATGTGTGGTGTGATTATATAATAGAATTGGTTTCTATAAACCATTTATAGTATTCAACTTTTATAGTATTACTTTTTCAGATGTATGGATATATAGACTATTATTTACTAATTGAGGCTCTGCGAAGTGTAGTGTATTTTACAAACATAATTAAATACTATCATTTAATATGCCTGATACTAACATATATTAATATATTTTAGCATGGTTTCAAAAATTTTAATTAGGAATTTTTGCCTTTTATTATATCAGAAAGTATATTTTGCAGTCAGGCCTCAAATAAATCATTATGAATCTTGTAGTTGTTCCTGAACTTGGAGTGTTAAATTTTGAATTTGCCATTTTTTAAGGTTCCAGTTTTTTGCTGGGCGTGGTGGCTTACGCCTGTAATCCCAAGACTTTGGGAGACTGAGGCATGCAGATTATCTGAGGTCAGGAATTCGAGACCAGCCTGGCTAACATGGTAAAATCCCATCCCTACAAAAAATACAAAAAATTAGCCGGACATGGTGGTGGGCACCTGTAATCCCAGCTACTCGGGAGGCTGAGGCATGAGAATCGCTGGAACTCAGGAGGTGGGGGTTGCAGTGAGATGAGATAGCACCATTGCACTCCAGCCTGGGAGACAGAGCAAGACTGCGTCTCAAAAAAAAAAAAAAAATCTACTTTTTGTGATACGTATTTTCATATATAAAAGTTTTAATTTCATAAATACTTGGTTTTTATAGTAGCCTTCTTTTGGGTTGAGTGATTTGGGCTCTTAATTTTTATTGCCACAAATAGCCCACAGCTGGTAGTTGCAGACTGTAGGAATTGTACACTGGTATGATCTTACACAGGTAATTGGGCTACTGGAAGTAGAGGACTTGCGAAATACAAAGGAAGAAATGAGAGATGTACCTGCCAGGAGACTCAGTAACCAAAACAAAAACTTCCACTTCATCTAACAAATTATTCCTTTTTGGGATAAAGTTAAAGCTGAAACGTAGGTTTGTTGGTTGTTCTTTATTTTCCTCAAACATAACTTAATTCAGACTTCTCTTAACTTTGGAAAAACCCAACATAGATAAGTTGGATAGATTCTTTTTTCTATTTTGCATCATTAGATTTTTTTTGCTTGAAACAGCTGTCTTTAGCATTAATTCTTAGCATCTTAGATTCTTGCCAGATTATTTTTTACTATTATTTGTCATTTTATTCTTTAATGAAGCAGCCCTTCCTGAAATCATTCACATTTAGATTATATGTTGCTGGAAATACTGAATGTTCTGTGTATTGTGCTTAAGCATGCAATTATAGACAGTAATTAAGTACAGTGCATTTGTTTCAATAGCTTACAGCAATAAGACAGCTTTTGAAAGTTTATACATAAGATGTATACAAAGATAGACTGCCTTCATTTTCTTCAGTACGTGAGTAGGGAAAATAAATTCACAGGAGGAATTGTCAAAGAAGTTCAGAATGAAAGGGAATAAAGGGAAGATGGGGAATGAGAAACAATGAAGAAAATAATAGAAAATTTGGGAAAAGATATAGAAGAAAGAAAGCAGAGAAGGATTAAAACGGCCTTTCCAAAACGACTCTTTGTCAGTGCACTTCCATTAATCACCTCTTCAAATGAGATAGTAATAACTCTTTTTGCATTTTTCATTTTTGCCTCACCCTTACTGGAGAAGAGAAGATGAGAAAGACAGTCCCAGGAGTGTCTGGTATCTGCAGCCACAGGGGGAAAGGAAAGAGAATACAAATTGTCATTGTGTCAGTAGTTCTTATGGCTACCACATTGGGGGCAGCTGTCATTGATTAATTTGAGAACTCCTTCTGCGATCTGTTGTCCATTGTTCAGGATACATATCTTTGGCTGTTATTTTAACATTTATTTATGACACTTGTTTCTACTTACTTTGACATTTGGATACTCACTATTAGCAACATCTTATCTTTTTAATTACTGTTTTGTGGCTTATAAAAAGAGACTATAGGCCGGTGACGATGGCTCACGCCTGTAATCCCAGCACTTTGGGAGGCCTAGGCTGGCGGATCACTTGAGGTCAGGAGTTCAAGACCACCCTAGCCAACGTGGCGAAACCCTGTCTCTACTAAAAATACAAAAATTAGCTGGGCATGGTGGCAGGCACCTGTAATACCAGCTACTTGGGAGGCTGAGGCAGGAGAGTCACTTGAACTCAGGAGGCAGAGGTTGCAGTGAGCCGAGATCGCACCACTGCACTCTAGCCTAGGCAACAGAGTGAGACTCCATCTCAAAAAAAAAAAAAAAAAAGACCGTATAAGAATGAAAGTGAACTGGTACAAAGTAGTTACCATTGTGGAAAAAACAACTCAAATGCCTCATAGTTGAAGCCAAGAAGCAGACAGGCTTTGCCTCTATCAACTTATATTTGAAAAACGTAGTTTCTTTAAATCTCCATTTTTGTCTTTTGAATACTTTATTAGGTCGCTCCAGAGAAAGCTTGAAAGCAAGGCCTGTACTCCACTTGAAAAGATTCATAAAATAGATTTGTAAATTATTATTCAGCGCATGAATTTCTCAAGTATATGATTATACTAAATTAATATTCATATGTTGCAGGAAGTTGGTGAACCATCTAAAGAAGAGAAGGCTGTGGCCAAGTATCTTCGATTCAACTGTCCAACAAAGTCCACCAATATGATGGGTCACCGGGTTGATTATTTTATTGGTAGGATTATATCAGTAAAATCGTATTAGTGTACATATGTTATGAAGTTAACCTACATTTGGGATATGTAGAAGTTTTAAAAGTGCTTTCCAAATGTGATTGTTCTGGTGATGGACATATGGCAGTTGATTATTCTGTTCTTTTCTTTTATGATTGAAAATGTCTATAATAAAAAGATAACATGTTTTCTAATAACAATTGTTGGAAATTTTTTTAAATAGGATTTATTTTCAGTGTTTTAAAATACTACCTTTTGTTTAGATAGTATGCGTACTTGGAACTAAGAGCACTGGCTTTTTTTCCCCAAACAATGTCATTATAAGCTGATGTCATTTATAACACCAGAGCTTATAAGTAGGGGTTGAGTTTGCCTTTCTCATCAATTAAAAGTGAATTGCAGCTGGGTGTCGTGGCTCACACCTATAGTACCAACACTTTGGGAAGCCAAGGCAGGAGGGTTGCTTGAGGCCAGGAGTTCGAGACCAGCCTATGCAACACAATGAGACCCCATCTCTACAAAAAAATTAGATGAGTATGATGGCATGCGCCTCTGAAGTGAGAGGATGGCTTGAGCCCAGGAGTTAGAGGCTGCAGTTAACTATGATCCCACCACTGTACTCCAGCCTGGGTGACAGAGCAAGAACCTGTCTCTTAGAAGAAAAAAAAAACTAAATTGCCAGTGTAGAGGAAAAGTCCTTTATCGTCTCTTTCTTTACTGTTTTTAATGATTTGACATTCATTACAAGTTTTAAAAAGTAGATGTGCTAATCTCTTCAGATATAATATGTTTAGCTGTTTCTTGTGACAGCAGTGGATTGTTGACAGAGCTTCTTCCTCAGTGTATTAGAGTAAAACTTGATGAGAATTTTTATTACTTGCAGGGAGTGGTGAACATTTTGGTTTATCTACATATGCTTGTGATTAATAAGAGTGATAGTTACATACAGATATTTTAAATTTTTGAATATTTCCCCATTAATTTAACTTGCTTTAGTTGGTCTTTCTGAATGCCATTATTTCCCAACATTACTTTTAAAAGATACTTAATATAGTTCACAAGTTGAGGTTTTGGGGAACTACTAATCATGATCATGTTAGATTTAGTTTTCTGTTGAGTTTGGTTTTCTTTTTTGTTGCCAGAGTGTTGAAATTTTACTTTATAAAATATTATTTAGATAGACATAAATCCCCATGTATGCTAAATTTAAAATAATGAATTTCTTCTTTAGCTTCAAAAGCAGTGGACTGTCTTTTGGATTCAAAGTGGGCAAAGGCCAAGAAAGGAGAGGAAGCTTTATTTACAACCAGGGAGTCTGTGGTTGACTACTGCAACAGGTACTGTTTATTTCTTAGTGAAGAATAACATAATAATTTTAAATTTTCTTCATAGTCCTGAAGCTCCTTACATCATTAAATGTAGTGATACTACAACATAACTCAAATACTGTTTTCACATGTAACCTGATTTCTTTGGTACCTCTGGAAATGTGTTTGGTATTAGACTATTATACTTTTAACTGTATATAATTTTTATTTATGTTCTATTTTATATATTTGTGAGCCCTACTGAAGGGTCAGCAACAAAAGTCATATACCAGTGCCTACAGTAGAAAAGAAAGTTTTTTCTTTTGTAGAGCAAATTGGTTGAGGAGTCTTTTTTTCAAAACTTTTGCAGGAATTCCTATTAGCTGTGTTACCGCTACTTTTTTAGTGCCTGCACCCTGAGCCATAAGCCTCATACCCTTTCCTATTTGGTTCAGTGTTTGCTAATGTAGTATTTCTTCTAAAATCAAGGAAGCTGCAACATCTACCTTATCTTTTTCTGAGAATTTCAAGATGAAATACAGCTAATTCAGTAATATACATATATTTTTCATAATAGATACTTTTTCTGTTTTGAAAAAACTTTTGATGTTAAGTGGTTTACCTAAAAGACAAAATCACCTTCCTTTTGGAAGGAAGTATGCTGGTTTTTCTTTCCATTTCTTTTCTTTTTTTTCTTGGTTTACTTAATACTAAGCATTTTCTTAATATATGTTAACTAAATTTTGTTTTCATAACACTAAAGCTTATCTTTTGGGATTTTAGATTATTTTATGTGTACTAATATTTTATTTAATGGCACCTAAAGTATCAGCCACATAAGAACCCTCTTAAAAACCACTATTTCACAACCTGGTTTCTTAAGCTGTCAAGTTAAAGAATTATTGAATATTTCTTAAAATTCTTAGTTGCCAAAGACTAGAGGTTACTAACAGACCTTTTAGAAACAGTAGGTTTCGGCCAGGCACAGTGGCTCATGCCCGTAATCCCAGCACTTTGGGAGGCCGAGGCAGGTGGATCACAAGGTCAGGAGATCGAGACCATTCTGGCTAACAAGGTGAAACCCCATCTCTACTAAAAATACAAAAAATTAGCCAGGTGTGGTGGCGGGCACCTATAGTCCCAGCTACTCGGGAGGCTGAGGCAGGAGAATGGCGTGAACCCGGGAGGCGGAGCTTGCAGTGAGCCGAGGTTGCGCCACTGCACTCCAGCCTGGGCGACAGAGTGAGACATTGTTGAGACAAGGATGAGCTAACACTCATGCAGTTGATATTTGCTTGTCTTTTGTAGCAACTTGTCTAGTTAGAATTAGCTCCAGCAAGCATATATCCAGGGCAACTTGAATCTGCTCGTGGGGAAAAAATAAAAAGGTGAATAGAATTAGCTCCACGGTACAAACTTCCAGGCTGGGCACAGTGGTTCACGCCTGTAATCCTGACACTTTGGGAGACCAAGGCAGGGAGATCACATGAGGCCAGGAGTTCAAGACCAGCCTGGCCAACATAGCGAAACCCCATCTCTACTAAAAATACAAAAATTAGCCAGGCGTGGTGGCATGCACCTGTAGTCCCAGCAACTTGGGTGACTGAGACATGAAAATAGCTTCAGCCCGGGAGGTGGAGGTTGCAGTGAGCCGAGATCGCACCACTGCACTCCAACCTGGGTGACAGAGCAAGACTCTGTCTTAAAAACAAACCAAAAAGTACAAACTTCCTTACCTGCCACAAAACTGATGTATTTTTTACATGTTGTGTAAAAATTAAGAGATGCTACAAATGCAGAAACTGGGGCACAGAGAACTTAAGTACTTTATCTAAGGCTACACAGCTAGCAAGTGGCAGATCTAGGGTTCTACATCTAGCAGCCTGTCTCCACAGTCTGTGTTCTTAACTACCGCTCTATACTGTCTCCTCCAACAAAATGACGATGCATTTAATGGAGCTATTAGATCTGTAAGCCCAAATCTCTGAGTAGAGCAGCCAGTATGAATCCACATTTTTTGGCTTTTTAGGAGCCTTGGTACCTTGTTATTTGAAAAGCTCAAAAGACCTGAGTACAGAGAGTGTCCAAAGACACTCGATTTTCATTGTATACGCTCTTCCCACTGATGTCAGATTGTTTGAGTCCTTTCTGCACTAAAATAAATGAGAATAGCATAACTTTAAGGTCTCCAGAGCCACTTCTAATATAACCGTAGAGTCTTATTGGCCAGTTCTCATGAGTTGCTGCCCAATAGCAGACAAAATCACAAAGGGTCTCTTGACCAGTTTCTTTTTTTCTTTTTTTGGCATCCTCCAATACTGTCAGTTTTTCTGAGGCAGCTAAGTGGCATGAGGGAGTCTGAGGAAAAACAAAATAGGAAAATGTAGGATGATAAAACAATCTTTTCTAATGTGATCTATACCTTTTTATGGCCTATATCATGAATGAACTCATACATACTAGGTTAAGTCTCCACAAGACTTTGTATCACTGACCCCCAATCCAGTTATGTCGTCCTCAGTCTTGTGCACATGCCACACTCATTTTTTCTTCTAGTCTTTTTCCTATCATAACTTGCCACTTTCCCTAAACGGTTCTGTTTCCTCTGTCCCACCTGCCTCTCAAAATCACAAACAAATCCCTCAAGTCCTTCCTCTACCGAATGTACTCTTCCCCAGGCCCTCCAGCCTTCATCAGCCTTTGTATCTAAAGTTCTACTGAGTTTATCAAGTTAGTACCTCCCAGTTTGGCCCTTAACTATTTTAGAATTGCTACATATGTGTGAGTTTTTTTAAAATCTCCTGCCAGCTAAATCTGAAAACAATTGTAAGACTGTTTTATACTTTATTGTAACTCCATAGCAATTACCACAGTGTGAGCACTTCATAAAAACTCACCTTTGCCACATTGGTGGAAGTCCCCAACATGTCTGGCATTTAATAAATGTTTGTTAAATCTGAAAAAAAAATGGAAGTGAAGGAAAAAAATACAGAAGTAATTTTTTAAATGTTTTAGAAGCTGTTTTAAAACCACTTACTCAACAAATAGTCTAGGCTCCAGGAATACAATAATAACTATGACTTGGTCCCTACATCAAAACATATTCTGATCTGTTAGGGAAGATTTATAACTAATCACAATGCAGTGTGTTGAATAAGGAAGAGAGAGATGGTGAAACTATGAAGAATGACATCACACAGAAAATGTTTTAAGTAAATTTTGAAACATAAATAGGTGATTACCCAACAAACAAGAGAAGAAAGGAAATTCATTCCAAGCAAAGGGCATAGAACACACCGAGATAGGAAAGTATGAGTAGTTGTGTAAAAATGTCAGAGAGTTTTATGTTAGTAATGTGTTCTATGTCATGGGTTTAAAGCCAAACAAACGGAGGCTCTGATACTATACAAATGTTAAATAATGTCAGTCTCATCTTTCAACCTAATTGTGAAATTATTTTCAACACAATTTGATTGAAAGTTAATAATCTACTTTTCTTTCGTGGGGGTGGGCAGCTGTGCAGGAAAATTGACAGAAGCAGATGATCCTGCTGGTTCTATTGCCTTCAGTATCTACTCATCAGGGAAAAGGCTTTTTTCTACTAAAGTTGCATTGTTTGTTTTTAAAATTCTTTATTAAGAATCATTTTTTCCACTAAAGTAAATTTAAGAAAATGGGAACTGTTGCAAATGATTTAGAAGAAAATCCAAATTACTAATAATGTTGCTTCGTAGATAGCCAGCCACATTACCATTTGAGAATATATACTTCAAGTATCTGTATGTGTACACATGTACTCTTAATATATGGACATGTATATTAACTGCATTATAAAATGCTGCTTTTTCAATTAACATATGAGGAACAGGATGTATTTTTATTTTCATTTGGAGTGGAAATAAATGTTCCTGAAAGAAAATCTGGAAATCATATAAGTGCACAAAGAAAATTAGAATATATTTTCATTATAGATTTTTTTTGTAAGACATTCTGGAGTAAAAAATGTAAGACTACACTTCATATTCAAATATGCCACTACTATTCTTAAATCCCACTTTGTACTCATAAGTAGTTAATCATTAAGGTCTCATTTCAGATTCTTGTTTGTTTATATATGTATATGTATTCATAGCAGATATGATGGTAGCATTTTGAGGGGCAGTTTGAACATTTGCACAATTATATGCACAATCATATTTACATAATTTAAAAATAGCTCTTCCAAATAAGTAGTATGGGCCAAATGAGGAAACCTAGAAATTAGCTTTGTGGAAGTGCTCATAGGCTGGACCTAATTGGGGAGCAGATGGAAGCCCAGCCAGGCAGGTAAAACATAGAAACATAGGTGCTTCAGGGGACTGAACACAGTGACAAAAAGAAGTGGTTATCTGGGCAGGAAGAAAGCATCTAGTTAACAAGTGCTGTGATGTGCTGGAGCAGGCACCAGTGAGGTGTAAGTAGAAAGGTAGCTAGATAGTCACCATTAGCAGGCACCAGTGGTGGTAGTGAGACGTAGCTTCTAGATTGTATTGTGGCAATTAGACATTATCAAAGCAGGAATGGAGAAACCAATCAGAAATTCTGAAACTAGAACATGAGATTTGAAAAAGTGACTTTTAGATGACAAAAATAAGGGCAACCCAATTTCTTGAGTAGGATTGTAAGGTTAAAGAGAAACTACCAAGCAACGTTGACTTAATCTGGGGTCAGATAAAAAATGAATAAAGCAAGGATCTCTCTCTCTCTTAAGAAGTTTACCGTCTAGTGAAGGAGCAAACAACTACTACAAATTATATAGTGAGTTAGAAGATAAGTGCTATGGATAGGGTAACAGGAAACGAGAGAATGGGAAGGTGGGCTTATGTTTTAAACAGAGTAGGTTGTGGTTGAGGGAAAACTTGAAGGAAGGGAGTGAAACAAAAGGACCTGCTTATTTGGGGGAAGAGCATTCTAAGTAAAGGGAACAGCCAGTGTGAAGGCCCTAAGGTGAGAATATAAAATATAGTAATAACTGATAAAAAGAGAGAAAACAATCTATTTAGAGAGAAATTAGTGAAACCAGGAATACATCATGTTTTGCCAAATATATTGCACATTTTTCAATTTGATGTTGTGCACGTCCTTTTCAGAGTCCAAAAATCTCACCTTAGTATATTTAATCATTGCTTAATTGAAGATAATCATTACAGTGGCACACTGAATTGCGAAGTACTTGGAGAAAAAATAACACCAAGAAAGCTGAAAAGACATTATTTGGACCCATCAAATCATCACTTTTAATCTGTTAACATTTCTTAAACTGTTTATTTTCTCCTTTCTTTATTACGTCAGCTCTTGCATTTGAGACTTAACATAAAGTGAAGCTGAGTCTTGATTATATGAACCCAGAAAGAGTCTTTATATGGATAATCTCAAACCTATAATCTCTTTTATACTTAAGGTACATCATTAAAAGTGAAAATTATATTGAATATCACTGAGTTTTGACAACTTTTATATAATTGACTGTAAAGTGTTTTGATTTAGTGGTAGAGTTGACTACTTTTTCACGGGCATACTAGTTGTAATTTCTCTTGTGTTGCTAATTTATGCCTTCCTTTGCTTATTTTATTCAGGTCTTGATATTTTTGCTTTTCAGTCTCTATCTATATGGGGAGTGTAATGCCATACCTGTTTTTCCCAAAGGCTTTTAAAGAAGCAGTTTTTTCACCGAGCCCTAAAAGTAATGAAAATGAAATATGATAAAGACATAAAGAAAGAAAAAGATAAAGGAAAAGCTGAAAGTGGAAAAGAAGAAGATAAAAAGAGCAAGAAAGAAAATATAAAGGATGAGAAGACAAAAAAAGAAAAAGAGAAAAAAAAAGATGGTGAAAAGGAAGAATCCAAAAAGGTGAGTTAATCTAAAATTAAGTAAAAATTTAAAAATCATTATGTGCACATGAACACTACTGGCCTATGAGCACATTTAAGTATTATGCAACACCTACCTGAGATAACTATATTAGAGTTGTTATAAATACCGTGGTTGAGAATTTTTATTTCTGTGTTACAAATAGTCAGTGAAAGTTTTTTGACTGTATGAACATCATATTTCTTGCTTACTTGTGTTATTTCTTCTGTCCAACTTGTGTTTTCATAGGAGGAAACTCCAGGAACTCCTAAAAAGAAGGAAACTAAGAAAAAATTCAAACTTGAGCCACATGATGATCAGGTTTTTCTGGATGGAAATGAGGTGAGAGTAAGCCTATAACTAGAAGTTCAGTTTTCTATAGGAGTTTTTAGAAAGATGTTTGATGCCTTCACTAATAAAAGGAAAAATTTTGAGAAATCTAATTATGCTCTTAAATGTATAAAAGCTACTCCATTTTTAAAAATCAATAATTTCTCTTATTTAGATTTTTAAAAGTCAGATTTGACTGTGAGTGATAGGAAACCTGAAATAAAAGCATCTTAATACAAAATAGATGCTTATTTCTTTTTTATCAGTGAAATCTGTAGGTAAGCTGTACAGATACGTCAGCTCCATGGTGGATCCCAGCTCTTCTTTTCTCCTCTGTCTGAGGCTTCTAGCTAAGGTTACCTTATGGTCCAGAATGACTGCCAATCTTATATCTGCATCGAAAAGAGGAAAGGAGAGTGAAGAATATGTCTCCTCTTTAAGGAGACCAGTTTAAGGACACTGTCCAGAAAGCTGGTAATTTCATTTCTGCTTGAATTCCATTGGCCAGAACATAGTCACATGGTCATGCATATGAGAAGTAAAATCTTGGAAATGCACTTTTTATACAGGATGATTATTTGCCCAGCCGAAATGTAGGGTTTCCATTATTATCAAAGAAAAAAGAGCAGAATAGGAGATAGCTACAAGTCTCTATCTCTTACAGAATGTAAGTCAGACACATCACTTGAGGGGCTTAAAATTTTTAACATTTCTTGATGCTTTATGCTTATCATTTGTAATGGAAGATTTGTATGGTGGTAGCCTTCCATAAAGACTGCTTAATTCAGTCACTTCACCAGTACGTAAACATGAGTTATATACTGGGCATTGAACTGTTGTGAATTTCAGGATATATCCTTTCCTGTTATACCTATACAATAGTAACATCTATAAAGTCATGGCTCCTAGGGTTGTGTGTTTGAAATTCTTACTTGCATGAGACTATCTAGAGTGGGATTGTGGGGGAGGATTATATATCTATAATAAAGTGTCCTCAGGTGACTGATGTGAACCCCTTGTTGAGAACCACTGTAATAGAAATTTTTATTTTTATAGGCGTTGGGAATAGCTTGATAAGTAGGATAAAATCTCTTAATGGTCTAGCAAAGATACAGGCACTTAAACATGTTAATATAGTACAGTGTGGTAAGCATTAATGGTGTGAAAGCACCAGGTAGGAATAGTTAATTTAGTCAGGAAGGATAAGAAGGGTCTAAAGGACATTTGAGCTTAGACTTGAAGATGACTGGCAGATTGCCAGGCGTGCCAGGAAGGAGGTTAGGTCTGTTAGGGAAGGAAACAGCCTGAGCAAACGCATGGGTGCTTGGTATCCTGAGAAGCCTAGATTTTATTCTGTAGAAAGCAGCATGCACTCCATAACTTTTAAAGTTGTGAAATATCTTTTTTAAAAAAACATGTTTTTTTAGAATGGAAACTGGCAGAAGTAATATCTGTGAATCTGATTCCCAAGGAAATGGGCAGAGTAAAATAAGAGGTTAAAGTGGAACCTCTGGTGTTAAAAATTGAAGAACCACGTTGGAAAGACAATAAAGAGTTCTGGTCAATATAGAAATAAGAGGGAAGAGTACTGTTATTTATAGAAACTAAGAAATAAAACTGAGTTTTATGGATGAATGATCAAACAGAGTTCTGATCTGAATGAAGTAAATTTCTGTTGTGTAAAATAAGAGCCTGATAAAAGTAAATTAAGTTTTGAAGTAGTGGTTCCCAGCTTATGGGCCCTCCATGGAGGAGTAGGCAATGAAATTAATACAGTCATAGAGACTATGTTCACCAAGCATGATCTTTAATAATTGATCTTTGTGTCTTCTCAGGAGAGAAAAGTGTGGAGTTGAGTGATACTAGATCTGTAATAGGGCCTGGCTGGAATCTGTCTTAACTGCGCTTTTATCCCAGACTGGTTCATCATTACATTAGGGACAAAAAGGTTGGCAGTTGCTGGTGTTTTGGTTGAATAAATAATGATGTGCACACATGGAACAATTTTTTTTTCCCCCAAGACAGAGTCTTGCTCTGTCGCCCATGCTGGAGTGCAGTGGTGTGATCTCAGCTAACTGCAACCTCTGCCTCCTGGGTTCAAGCAATTCTCCTGCCTCAGCCTCCCGAGTAGCTGGGATTACAAGCGTCCACCACCACACCTGGCTAATTTTTGTATTTTTAGTAGAGGCAGGGTTTCACCATGTTGGCCAGGCTTGTCTTGAACTCCTGACCTCAAGTGATCTGCCCGCCTTGGCCTCCAAAGTGCTGGGATTATAGGCGTGAGCCACCAAGCCCAGTCAAACAAATTTTTAAGTGTATGTAAGAACATACAAATTTACTTAAGTGCTTTATAGAATTTATAGTTATCCTATAATCATTTTCTAGCGCCAGAAGAACCACTACTACTGAAGGAAAGATCTTTGGAATTTATTTACCTTAGAAATTACTTCTCGTATGTTAAGAGGTTGATGACTGCTTTAAGGGACCTAAAATATAGAATTAAGCATTACTTTCTAATGTGACATTAGAACTTTTAAGCACCGAGGTTTCTTGATTCTTCTAGGTGTATGTATGGATCTATGACCCAGTTCACTTTAAAACATTTGTCATGGGATTAATTCTTGGTAAGTAGTGAGATGTTAATAGCTATAAAGTGCAATCTAAAATTTAGAAAACAATATGCAGATACTGTAAAAGAAAATGTTCCTAAATTTAACATAAAATAGTTGTCATTTTAAAAATACTTTAAATAAAGTCAGAAGATAAATAATACACTAAGGAAAATATTTGAAACATATTAAAGATCTTTTAAGAGATTAACAAACTGATAGAAAAATGGTCAAGGTAGTTAACAGATAAAGAAATACAATGACCAATCATCATGAGTGATACTTAATCACACTCATATACAAATTAAAGCTGTAGTGATTAAGAGTCTTGCAAACCTTAACATTAAAGGTCTTAGAAAAAAATCAGCTCTCTCTAACAGTTGATAGGTATGTCTATTGTTTTAATTTTTGTAAAGGGCAGTTTGTCAGTATCTTTGAAATTTTATGTGTCTGCAGTGACCCAGCAATTCTAGGCTGTTCCCATACAGTTGCACAAAGTGTGTGCATTGACACATTATCTGTTTTTTTCCAAATCCCTTAGACTATACTTGAGTATAATCTAGCAAATATCTTTCAAATTCAAAATGCTTATACCATTTGATCTAATAAATTCCACTTTAAGGAATTTACCCTATGCCATAATCACAGTTGCACAAACGTACATGTGCAAGGATATTATACCTAGAATAGATAAAAAAAGAAAAGAAAGTTACAGACGAGTAAGAATAGTATAAGCTCATTTACTTATTTAGAAAAAAAGTCCCTGTAGCTAGTTAATTATATATAGGCAGTCTCTGAGAATACAGGTAAGCTTAATAGTACTTAACCTCTGGGAAGTGGAATAAGAATTAGATGAAGACTTAATTTTCTCTATACCTTTTGATTTGCTTGTTTGTGACAGGGTCTCATTCCTGTCACCCAGGCTGGAATGCAATGGCACAATCATGGCTCACTGCAGCCCGACTTGCTGGGGTCAGGTGATCTCCCACATCAGCCTACTGAGTAGCTGGAACTATAGGCACACTCCACTACACCCCGCTAATTTTTGTATTTTTTTGTAGAGATGGGGTTTCGCCATGTTGCCCAGGCTGGTCTCAAACTCCTGGGCACTTGCCTCGTTGTCCCAAAGTGCTGGGGGTTTGATTTGTTTTTGATTTGCTTTTTAACGTGTGTATTCCAGGAGGTTTTATGGGGAAAGAATGATTTAACAAACAGAAAAAAAAAAAATAGGTAGCAGTTAAAATAAGCTTGGTCAATATGGTATGATAGGATCCCATTCAAAATAACTCTTTAAGGCTGGGCTCAGTGGCTCACACTTGTAATCCTAACACTTTAGGAGGCCAAGGCAGGGAGATGGCTTGAATCCAAGGGTTCGAAACCAGCCTAGGCAACATGGCGAAACCTCGTTTCTACAAAAAATTAGCCGGGTGTGGTGGTTCACACCTGTAGTCCCAACTACTTAGAAGGCTGAGGTGGGAGGATCACCTAAGCTCAGGAGGTCGAGGCTGTCGTGAGCCAAGATCATGCCACTGTACTGCAGCCTGGGTGACAGAGTAAGACTCTGTTTCAGAAAACAAAAAGCAAAATAACTCTTTTATAATAAGAGTACTAGTCACTTTGCTAGATATTTTGCGTACAATATATCATTTCATCCTCACAACAACCTTTGAAGAATAGGAAGAGACTTATTAAATATAAGGTAACTTAGCCTCAAAAGAGTTAAGTAACTTGCCCAGGGTTACATAGCTTATAAGTGATGGAGCTAGAATTTTAATCCTGGTCTTATTCTAAAGACCTAATAACCAGGCTTCTAATTTCTTATAATTCTTTCTTGTGTCCCCACTTTACTTGCAAAAAAACTGGAGACACTTGTAAACAGTTTCCCTAAGCACCAAAAAATACATCTGTAGCAGAAATCACCTGGGGAATCTTTCAGTCTGTGGATGTCAGAGCTCCACCCCAGAAGAAGAATCTCCAGAGAGGGGTCTTGGAAATCATTTTTTGTTGGCTTTGTTGTTCTGTTGTTTCTTTTAGCTCCCTTACTTAGTAGGCAAATATCTTAGTATTTTTTAAATAAAGTAGATATAGCTTGAAAAAGGGGGCAGTTGATAAATTAAGGAGGCAACAGTTTTGAATTTCTACATAGCATTTTTTTCTAATTATATGTAATTTACACTAATAAAAACTAGTTTAAGAATAGTATAAAATGTTAGGTTGAACAATATGAAATTGCTCATAATTGACCATTTTTTACCTATAAAAATGGCAATTTTATATTTCACTGTGTTTATGTTTCTCAGTTTTTCCCCCAGGGATATGTTTCTGTTAGTGCAGCCATACCATTTAAGTTTTTATTCTAAAATTTAACTTTTGTCATTTCTTGTTCCAGTGATTGCAGTAATAGCGGCCACCCTCTTCCCCCTTTGGCCAGCAGAAATGAGAGTAGGTGTTTATTACCTCAGTGTGGGTGCAGGCTGTTTTGTAGCCAGTATTCTTCTCCTTGCTGTTGGTAAGTATTGTTATTATAAAATTGACCTCAAGAAGGTTGGTATTGAGCAGTTGGACTGTAATTTGGAGCTTCAGTAAAGCTTAAGAAAAATTAATGGAGGTAAATCAAGAAATATATGGTACTACTTTCTGAGTCAAATCTCAAAACTCAGGCTTGGTAAGATGTGTTCTGTCTGCAGAAAAAGGATTTAATACATCTTTAAAAAAATTTTTTAATAAGATTATTTTTTATTGACAGATCATAATTGTATACATTTATGGGGTACAATGTGATGTTTTGGTGTATGTGTACAATGTGGAATGTTTAAATCAAGCTAATTAACATAATTAGCATATTGATCACCTTTCTTGCCTATCATTTATTGTGAGACATTTGAAATTTACTTATTTTGAAATATACCATACATTATTATATCTTAATCTGCAAATAGATGTGCTTTAAAAATTAGTTATGGCAGAGGCGTTTAATATTTTTGCAGTGGTAGATCATTTATTAGACATAATACTTTCAGTAAAACATTTTTTAATTTTGACTTAGAACAAATGCAACATCTAAATAATCTATGCATATATTTAATAAATGATTCTAAACAATTGATTTGCCATTTTGGGAAAAATCAATAATTTTCACCCAAGTACCAAAATACTAGATGCAATAAGGAGTTAATGTTTTAAAAATCAAATAGGAAAACATAAGTAAATGAATTTTCCGCATTTCTGGATGATTGGGGTCTTTCATAGATTATTTGTTTAGAGGCAGGGTCTTGCTCTGTCACCCAAGCTGAAGTGCAGTGGTGAGATCATAGCTCACTGCAGCCTTGAATTCCTGGGCTTAAGCAATCCTCCTGCCTCAGCCTCCCAAGTAGCTAGGAGTACTGGTGCATTTCATCATGCCTGGCTTTTTGTGGGGGAGATAGGGTATCACTCTGCCCAGGCTAGTCTCGAACTCCTGACCTCAGGTGATCTGCCCTCCTTGGCCTCCCAAAGTGTTGGGATTACAGGCGTGAACCACCACGCCCAGCCTCCTTCCTCTGATTTGGTAACCTCTGGCAGCAGAAAAATCCCCTGCTGGTTTTGCATGGAACACGGGCACATTTGTAGGCCAAGAAACAATATCTAAGCCTGTTTGAATTTAGTGTCAGTGTAATACCTGCATCAAGAAGGAAAAGTCATAAACTTTGATCTGACATTAGACATAATAAAATTGGTGCTTTTTGCCTTTCAAATTCCTGAAATTTAGAAACTCCTTGGAAATTTTTAGCAAAGGTTTAGCTCCACTGAATAGAATTATTCTACTTGCTTATTTTTAAATTAAACCAGTGTTCACAATAGTTTATGGTTATTATGTAGTTTTGCTGTTTAAAATATTGTTTCTTCAGTAGTCTCTTTAAATAAATTTTCATTGTAAATATGCTGTGGATTTAAATATGCATTATGAACCAAATAGTCTTCTGAATTATACCAGGAAACAAACCCAACATTTTATTTTGATTCTCTTAGAAAATGCAATTCCAAATATACTTTCAAATAATTAGATATTTCTTTTATATTATTCTTTGAAGTCTTTATATATATTATGTATATCGCATATAATATATATCATGTATATTATATATGAATATATATGATATATAGATATATGATATATCATAATATTATATATCATATATATCATATAATATATATCATATGATATGTCATATATATTATATGATATCTCATATTTATATGAAATATATTTTTATATATATTCATTTTTTGGAGACAGGGTCTTGCTCTGTTGCCCAGGGTAAAGTACCATGGCAGAATCATAGCTCACTGTACCCTCAAACTCCTGGGCTCAAGCAGCCCTCCCACCTTAGCCTCCTGAATAGCTGGGACTATAGGAGCATGTTGCCATGCCTAGCTAATTTTTTTTTTTAAAGTCAGGGTCTTGAAATATTATGTATTGGTCACAATTATATCTGGTGTTTCTTTGAATATGCATTATTAATAATGCCATTTAAAATAAAACCTTTGGCAGTTTTCTAAAATCTGTCGCTTTTAGCATAGGAATGTTATTATAGTACATGTCACAGCTTCCCCATAATTCTTCCCTTTTCACTCTCGGTAATCTAGTGCCACATAGCGAAAAACTGTAAAACATGAACATTTTGCCATACCATTTGTATGTGATAAGAAATTAGGTTAGTGCCATTTCTATATTGCTTTTTCTTTGGTTTGATACAAGATTTCATATTATGAATCATCTGTCTTACAATCCTGTAAAACCTATCATTGCATCATAATTGGAGAAAAAAATGTACAGCCTCCTTAAATTCATTATCTCTGTTTATCAGTGGAATTTATTCTTAAATCATAATTTTAAGCATATTTACCTTTTCCGTTTATACCACGAAAGATTCTAATGTGTACAGGAGTCTTTCAGAATATTTATATTCTTGTGAAAATAAAAATTGCTATTTTTAAAAGTCAAGACAGCTATAACGATTTTCTTCCATTTATACAAAGCAAAATAATGGAAGACACATAGATTAGCTTATTTCAGGCTTTATATGAAAACAGTGACAGAATTGTCTAAAGAAAACAAAAACCAAAACTCCTGTCATAATTGATTAGTCTGTAACATTCACATAATCATCATGACCTTTTAAAAAACAGGAAAAAATCACTCAGCTCTACATAATTGGTAAATTCAGAGAAAACTAAATATTGGGGTTTGTGATAACTCATTACTACAAATTTTAAAATTCAAATTCCATTTTTCTACAGTTTTTTCATAATACAGTGTTATAAAAGAGTAAACCTTATGTATTTAAGTGATCTTGCTTTCATTAACATTGTATTTTTCCTAATATTGAGAGGATTGGTCTTTAAGCAAAAATTACATAGTTTACCTAACTAATAAAACAAAAAGGTCAGGTTCAGTGACTCACAACTGCGATCCCAACTACTCGGGAGGCTGAGGTGAGAGGATCACATAAAGCCAGGAGTTTAAGACTGGCCTGGACAACATAGCAAGAACCTGTCTATCAAAGTAGGTAGATAGGTAGAGAGAGAGGGAGGATAGATAGAGAGAGAGAGATTAGATAAATAAATGATAGATATAGACCTGTAATCCCTGCACTTTGGGAGTTTGAGCCCAGGAGTTCAAGACCAGACTGGGCAACTTGGCAAGACCCCATCTCTACAAAAAATACAAAAATTAGCGGAGCATGGTGGCACGTACCTGCTACTTGGAGGCTGAGGTGGGAGGATTGCTTGAGCCCAGGAGGTTGAGGCTGCAGCGAGTCATGATTGTGCCACTGCACTCCAGCCTGGGTGACAGAGCAAGACCTTGTCCTCAATAAATAAATAAGAAAACAAGGATTAAAAGATGGAAACTTTCTAATACTGGGGTTCCTTATCCAGGGCTAATTTATCCTTTAGGCATAGTAAACGTGTGCCTTGGACCAAGATACATATAGGGGTCCACAGAAATATTTTCATTTTTATTTCTTTTAAATCAGAAGTAGTAATGTATATACATGTATGTAATAGCAAACCTATACAGTATTTTATTCGTGTTTATACAGATGTACAGAAAATATAGTCATAAATGTATAGAAAATATAATATTTAATAGTTTTTGTGGAGTAAGTGCCTTACAAAGGCAAAAGGGCCTAGGGCCTTGGGAAGTATGATGCAGCCCTGCTTTTCCTTCTTAAAGGCTTCCTTCCTAAACACCTTTCATCTCTTTATTTTATTCTTTTCCTACACCATGATCTTATGAATACTTAAATTCCCAACTGATTGCTATGTGTATTGAAGCATAATATCACAAAGTACATAAATCAGAAGTGTATATCCATGTAAGTGTACACCCAGATGGAAAAAAGAAGTAATTTTTTTCAGTGACATTATTGCATTGTGACCTCAAGTTCAGAGCAACATTCTGTGCCCCTAGAATACCGTGATAGCTGCTAAACTAGTCAGGAATTTTTTGTTTTCAGGCATGCAGTGGTGTAATTATAGCTCACTGCAGCCTCGAGCTCCTGGGCTCAAGTGATCCTCCCAAGTAGCTTGGATTAGAGGTTTAGCCACCACGCCCAGCACTAATCAGGATTTAAATATTAATATTTAAGGTGTATGAAATGTGCAGATAATAAAACTGTTTTCCCAGCTTTTTATTAACAAATACTCCCTTCTGAGGCAGTGTTTGAATTACTCAATTAGAGAAATTTTTCTCCCCACAGCTCGATGCATTCTATTTCTCATCATTTGGCTCATAACTGGAGGAAGGCACCACTTTTGGTTCTTGCCAAATCTGACTGCTGATGTGGGCTTCATTGACTCCTTCAGGCCTCTGTACACACATGAATACAAAGGACCAAAAGCAGACTTAAAGAAAGATGAGAAGTCTGAAACCAAAAAGCAACAGAAGTCCGACAGTGAGGAAAAGTCAGACAGTGAGAAAAAGGAAGATGAGGAGGGGAAAGTAGGACCAGGAAATCATGGAACAGAAGGCTCGGGGGGAGAACGGCATTCAGACACGGACAGTGACAGGAGGGAAGATGATCGATCCCAGCACAGTAGTGGAAATGGAAATGATTTTGAAATGATAACAAAAGAGGAACTGGAACAGCAAACAGATGGGGATTGTGAAGAGGATGAGGAAGAGGAAAATGATGGAGAAACACCTAAATCTTCACATGAAAAATCATAATCTGACTAATTTTGGGACTGAATGAATAAGTACAAGAGGTTGGATTTTCTATGTTGGCTGATTACCATATTGAACACATGGCATTTGTAGCATTCTTTAAATCTATCTACTGAAATGTATTTGACATTCAAGCAGTTATATTCGGTCCTTCATTTTATAGAATATTGGCACTATTATTGGTACAGTTTAAAGCCATTAATATGTTTTATCCATTTGATAATTTTACAGTAAGTAGGTCTCATTCATTTTGACAGTTATCAAAGATGTACTTTCCACAGTTAAATTTACATTAATGGCAATTTTTGATAGTTTTATGGCTTTTTACTGTTAGACTAATCAAAAATAACTTTAAAAGGAACAAAGAAACTCCAACATTTCACATTATGCATAGTTATGTAGCCATTTCACAGTTTCTTTAAGATGTGTAAACTCATTGTCCTTGATAGTTTTTATTTTTCATTATAAAATTATACCAGGAGATTTCTTTTAAGATTCTGAGTTAGCAGAGTTCAAAACTATTTTGTGGAAACAAGCCAACTAGTAACAATGCAGCAACACTTCTGGTTTAGCTAAATTATTTTTCCAATGTAGGAAATCCACACTGATTTGTACGTCTGACTGAGAGAAAGATGGTCGTCTCCAGCAGAGAAAGTGAACAGCATTTGTTGGAAGGTGATGGCTCTCCCTCCTCCCTCCCCATTTCATTGGCGTAACGTAAAGTGTATTCTGTACATAATTTACAAATAAAACATTTTATTTTAATTGTTACTTATTATTTAGATATTTCTCAACACTTAAATTCATAAAATTAAGACCATGTAAGGGTATGTTTTTAGAGAAATGGAAGTTTGAGTAACCCACAGAACATCTGTGATCTTTCTACAGCAGCTTCAGTTTTGTGCCAACATTCCATGTATTTTGAATATGAGCAAAAACTGATCTTAAGAGCAGACTTAAAGTAGCTTTGTACGCCTTAATGTTCATTTTGATTTATTTTAAATCTTTACATTCAGAAATGAGATACTGTATTATCAGACCAGGAGGCATTGCTGTGAAAGATAATTTCCTATTCTAAAATATCAAATTTAAAATAAAGATAATGAAAGAAAACATAAGAGAACTATTGGACTCTAATTGCTTTGAACTAGTTTTGCAGTTTGACTTTACGTCTTATACATCTTAGTTACAAGTCTTTGGAAACTCTTGTTTACTTATGAGCATAATCATTCCTTGGAGTTATACTAACTAATAATGAATATTAAATGATTTTTCTTCAGTCACAGTGAGAGCATCTTGCTTTGTGGTTGAAATAGGTAGTGTATGTCAGTCTTTGCTTTAGGCTGTTTCTCATCTAAGTGTTTGAATTAAAGATGTTAAATTTTTCTAATTGTGAAAAATATGTTTTCTGTATCGACACATTTTATTAAACTTGGCTTGATTGCTTCTTTATAGTAGTCCCTGTAAGTGGACATAAATGTGGCTATTTGATGTTAATGCAACTATGTCAAGGCTGCAATCACTTTAATAGTTTCTTTTTAGCAAATAAATGTTCATTGATGAAGTGCCTGGGTATTTTCCCGTCCCATTTGCAGAGCTCTACTACTTCATTTCCACAGTAAGCATATATATAATGATCACTTCTGAGTTTATCACCAGTAACATTGATACCTATTTTGGGGTATAAACATGGTGTTTTTCAGAAATAAAAATTATTTCATTAACCTTTACTATTACTGTGATAATACCCAGGCACTCAATATTCATCCTGAAATTTTTTATAATATATGTAATTTGTCTAGTCTTAAAGACATTTGGAGCATGGCCAACAGGAAGGTCAGCTTCTTACTGATGTGTGTGGATTCTTACAGAATGTTAGTACAAATTTTTATAAATATTTGGTGATCCCTGGGGGGAAATATCATTCTTACTATGGTTAGAAAGTGAATTAGAAATTTCAGCTCAGTTTCTATTTTACTATTCAAGTTGTGTACTTTAAACAAATATAAAAATCAAAAGGCTGCCTCTATTACAATCCTCAGTGGAATAGATGGCTATCTTTCTTGGCTAACATTAAATATTCTTGTACCAGAGCATGGAAAATCGTTTATAATTGTTAATAGAATGGCGATTTTTTTTTAAGAACTTCAGATTTGCTATGCTGCTGTAAGTAGAAAGCATGAAGCTTTTTGATCATGTAGGGCTTATTGTAGAGGGTATCAATTGGCCTAACTAAGCAGGATTGAATTTACCAGAGGCTAAGTTCAGATAGTAAGAATAATGCATATGTGATTGTTCTTAAAGTCAATGTATTAAATAAGGTATTTTTCCTTTTCCCTCTTACTGGATTTTTCAATTTTCAAACCATATGGCCTAGGTAACTTTAATTGAAATAATATAGATTTAGTTGAATACTATTCAGGAAGTAATAAATTTTAATATATCACATTGAAATTATGCAGTGGTGATGAATTTTGGTGTTTCCCCCCTCTTTCTGGTTTTACATCATGAGGATCAGTTAGCTGCTGACAAGAAAAGTCATCTTGTGTCTTTTGTAAATTGAATTTTTTTTTTAAATCTATTAGGAACTGGAAAACAGCAAGTATGGTTGATTCTCATTATTCAAGGTAGTTACGTTCTATAAAGTCACTGCGAACACTGAATTAGCAAATATAGAACCTAGGGGAAATACAAGGCTAGATTTCTGCAAGCCACTGGTCACATTTTCATCAAGCAGTCAACATGTAAATTTCTGTTGTAAAGACACCTTATTTAATATAATCGATTCATTAACATTGAAGTCATGACCAACAACACTGTAACTCATGCCTGAATGAAGCTTATCTGACACATAAGCTTCATAAGGCACACAACAGCCTTTTTACCCTTAGGAACAGCTTTTTGCCCTTAGCACTATGCTTGGGGGCCATTTTAAACAGTGAAATCAAAAAAAGAACAGAAATGCAAAAACCATGGCATTAGCGTAAAAAGGACACGTTTATAGTATGAAAGCTGGAACATGGCCTTGTTCAACCTCAGCTCAGAATATGTGTACAGCAAGTTTTTTGCTGTACCACAAAATTTTAGGTTAGGCAAATTCACAAATACGGAATCCATGAATAACGAGGATCAACTGTACTTAACTATATTTTAAAGCTGTGACATTTATCTACCTGGTTTATGGAATAGAATTTATTGCTGAATCATGCTCCAGTATTTGAGTGATGTTTTAAATATCCTATGTCTGAAAATAATTCCTCCTAATTGTGTGGTAATTTGCTTTTACTGTTTCCACAGTATTTCAGGTCTTTGCTCATTCACTCAGTAATACTGAGCACTTACCATGTACCAGAATTTTACTAGGCACAACCATGAATAAAAATACAATTCTCTTGCACCATTAAATAGTGTGTTAAGTGCTACGGCAGCAAATTGCTACATGTGCTGGATATCTCTTGTTTTCCCCTCCAGCTCCACTCTGCTCTTGCCCACAAAGCTGACCCGAATGGACCACAGCAGTGGGCTCCTATGCCTCCTGGCTTCTGAGTGGGTTTGGCCAAGGAGTGTCCTGGCCAGAGATCAGAGGATGGTAGGGTGCCTATTCTCGGCTCTTCTCCTGGGGTTGGGGGGCTGCCTTAGCAGCCAAAGGTCACTTCTCCCAAACTCCTTCCCTGCTTTCCAGGTTGCCAGTCCCTGCACTCTTCCTTTCTGGCCAAGGATGATGTCAGTTCTGCTGCTACTAGCCTGGAGTTGCAGAAGCTACTGTGCTTCCTCTTTGGGTAGCCTATACCTATACTTATCTCCTCATAATATCTTCATGTAAAGAACCATCTGTTTCTTATTGGAATCAAGACCAATACCAAGGAGAAATTCCTAGGGAACAAAAATTCCAATGAGGAATTGACCTCTTTGTCAGATCCTTATCACCAAACATTAGAAAAGATCTCATAACTTTATACAGCATGTTGTAAGCATTTTGATAACTAAAATCCTGTTCTAGTGAATGTCATGCAGATAACTACACAAGGAGATTAATTTAAATTTGCCTTCTTTGGCAAGCCCTTAAACCAATGGCTAAAGCAGTTAGTTGTGAGTTTCTGAGTAGGTCCCAATGCGTTTATTTCATTTGTCCAACCTAGCACAGAGATCCTTTGATACTTTAATTGCATGGCTTTTCCAATCAGACGAAATTTCAGTCTGAGAGAGGACATATTTTCTGAGGTTTATAGTTTTAGGATTGTCCAAAAGGCCTATGATCTCTTCTTAGCATGACAGAAAGAGGGAAAGATAAGTTAAATTTCAAGGGGGTCATATCATCACACTTTGGTCTTATTTCATTTTCAATGATTTCCTAGATCACTTTAACTTTTTTGTGTCATGGACTCCTCAGAATAATGGGTTTTTTTTGTTTGTTTGTTTGTTTGAGATGGAGTCTCACTCTGTCACCCAGGCTGGAGTGCAGTGGCGAAATCTCAGCTCACTGCAACCTCCGCCTCCTGAGGTTCAAGTGATCCTCCTGCCTCAGCCTCCCAAGTAGCTGGGATTACAGGCACATGCCACCACACCCAGCTAATTTTTGTATTTTTTAGTAGAGACAGGGTTTCACCGTGTTGGCGAGACTGATCTTGAACTCCTGACATCAGGTGATCCACCTGCCTCGGCCTCCCAAAGTGCTGGGATTACAGGCATGAGCCACCATGCCTGGCCAGAATAATGTTTTTAAATGCAGAAAAGGAAATGCATGGGGTTACAAGGGAAACGAATTACACTGAAGTGTAAGCTACCAAATAATTTATGATGTGGTAGTTATAGGTGTGCATTTAATAGCCAGATCTACGAGTGGATGTAATAACTGCTATGATGTTGAAGTAGCATAAAACATATATTAGATATCTGCAACAACTGTGATGTAACATGAAAATACCTGATTTCTGTTGACAAAGTTACTGCTAGTACAACTGTGGATTGTTGTCTGCACTCGTCATTGAAGGAAATACTAAATTTTAGTTTTAGGCTAGTGAAATTAAAGTTAATTTTTCCCATCCAAGTTCATGTATCTTCTGAATTCTATCCGTGAATCCCTTAGAGGTCTGTGAATTGTAGGTTAAGAACCCCTGCCCTAGCTAATCAGATCCACCAATGTTTCAAATAGGACTATAACTTATTCAAAGGCCAATGATACTTCGCATAATTCAATTTTAATATTATTCACATTTCATGTCACAAATTTAGTAAGTTACATGTGTTATGTGATGTTTTGTTTTGATAGATTATATCTTACTCCTAAATAAAAAGTCAAGATTTTTGTAGCAACTTCTATTTATTTTATGTATTTATTTATTTTGAGATGGGGGTCTCCTTGCTCTGTCACTCAGGCTGGAGTACAGTGGTACAATCACGGCTCACTGCAGCCTTGACCTCCTGGGCTCAAGTGATCCTCCCACCTCAGCCTCCCAAGTAGCTGGGACTACAATTGCATGCTACCACACCCAGCTAATTTTATAATTTTCATAAAGATGGGGTCTCCCTACGTTGTCCATGTCGGCTTTGAACTCCTGGGCTCAAATGATCCTCTTGCCTTGGCCTCCCAAAGTTGTGGATTACAGATGTGACCTGCCATGTCCAGCCTGAAGCATCTTTTAAATGGGAGAAGCAAAACAGGATCTTACCAACACTAAGATTATCTTTCAGTCATTCAGCAAACATTTGTGGAGTGATTACTATGTGCTAAGCATTGTGCAATCACAAAACTCAAAAAGCTAGTTTAGTAAGAGAGACAAGTATTCATGCAAACAGTGGCAATGGTGTTGTGTAATGTCAAAAGTATCTGTGACGTGCTTATGAGATCACATAAGTGAATACCCAGCCCAGATTAGGAAGGTCAGGAAAGGCATCCCATAGAAGTATCATGAGCTAGATCTTGAAGAATGAGTGGGTATTAGCCAAGTAAAGACTAGGGGAATTTTGGGCCACTGCAGCAAGATGTGCAAAAATAAGACAGCAGAGTGAGCATGGCATCCCCTGAAACTGAAACTAGTTAAGGTGCAGCTGGAAAAGAGAAACGTTTAGAGAGGGATACAGGTGGCAAGTCATTGTTTGACCAGAATCCCTTCCTTTAGAAAATATTCCTTTCCCTTCTGTGGTGCTCCTCATTCCATTCCACGGTGACTGGCCTCAAGGATGAGCACTCAGTTCACACCAGGCCAATTGAAGTCTTCTCATTTACTCAGGGGTCTTGAATTCCAAGGACCATGTGGACCTGAAGAAACCAATGGCTATGCTGCCTTCACATGAATGGAGCCTGTCTAGAAATAGAACCAACATGAAAAAAACAGAACCAAGGGTGGATCAGGAAGACAAGGCCTTAATGCCATCTTTGAACTCCCAGATCTAGCCTGGCCTAAAGCCATCCCTGGGCTTTTCAGTTGCATGAGCCAACAGATTCATCATTTTTTCTCAGTTATTTTGAATGAGATTTCTGTCACTGGGAACTGAAAGATGACTGAGTTGCACACAGTAAGTATGAACAGTGACACTAAAATACCTTTGGAGCAGATTGACTCAAAGCAGGAGAGTGACACATTCAGATTTGCATCTTAGACTACACTAATCACATAGAAAATGGCATGGCAAGGAGCAAGGCTTAGATATTTTCTGGATACTTCCAGTATTTCTCAGATTTACACATTCTAACCACAACTCCCCTCTTGTTGTTAAAAACAATTTATTTTCTTATTACGGAAAAATCAGAAACTTATAAGCAAAAATAACCAGAAAACTCACAAACCTACTGTCTTAGTCCATTTTGTGTAGCTATAACAGAATACCACAGACTGGGTAATTTATAAAGAAAATAAACTGACAGGGCATGGTGGCTCATGCCTGTAATCCCACCACTTTGGGAGGCCAAGGCGGGTGGATCACCTGAGGTCAGGAGTTCGAGACCAGCCTGGCTAACATGGCAAAACCCCGACTCTACTGAAAATATAAAAATTAGCTGGGTGTGGTGGTGTGCACCTGTAGTCCCAGTTACTTGGGAGGCTGTGACAGGCGAATCGCTTGAACCCAGGAGGCAGAGGTTGCAGTGAGCTGAGATCACACCACTGCACTCCAGCCTGGGCAAGAGAGTGAGATTCTGTCTCAAGAAAAAAAAAAAGAAGCTTATTTGACTCATGAGTTTGGAGGCTGAGAAGTCCAAGAGCATGGCACTGGGATCTAGTGAGGGCTTTCATGCTGCATCCCATGGTGGAAGGCAGAAGGGCAAGACAAGATGAAAGCCAGTGAGCAAGAGGGGGCTGAACTGGCTTTTATAACAAGCCCACTCTCATGATAATAACAATGCATCTGTGAAGGCAGAGCCCTTATGGCCTAATCACCTCTTAAAGGTTCCACCTCTTAATATCATCACAATGGCAATTAAATTTCAGCATGAGTTTTGAGGGGGACATTGAAACCATAGCACCTACCTTCAGAGACAACTACTGTTAAAACTCATATATATCCTTCTATAGCTCTTATATGTGTAACATGTATGTCTCTGTTCACTGAGGTGAGGAGATAGTAAATAAATGGGATCATACCATGTATACTTTATATTAAGAGTATTCAGAAATTAACGATCTGGAAAAAGAACATGTTGTGTGGAACCAAAGACACCATTTTTTCAGAAGAACAAATTATTGACCAGCTTATGATTTTAAATTGTATTTCTGCTCACCAACTTCAAGCTTCAGATTGTGAAGTTATCCTTAGACTAAGTATATAGTAAATGCATGTTACAAAGTATTTCACATTACAGTGTTTTTAATGATCAACATTCGAGGGGATTAGAAGGAAGAATTTATTATTAACTTGCCATATCCTCAAATACATACACCTTTAACAATTATGGCACTTTGCACTGCAAAGAAAAAAATAAAGGGCAGTAACAAGTAAATTAGTACACAACAAGGCTCTTGAAAACAAGAGCAGTAACTGCAGAAACTGGTCTGTACTTACAGAGTCTGGACAATATCTGACAGACTGCACAGCTATAAAGAGTGGTTGGATACTATATAAAGCAAAGCAAGTTGCATCTCTATCCCATCTTTCTAGTTGCATATACTCCACAGGGTTCAATTACAAAATTGAAACCCTATTCTTAATAACTTTTTTTCTTATTGTCCTTTAATAAAAGAACCATCAGAATTCTCCACTTTTCAATCGCATATGCTGTCTTCTATCTCACCTTCCATCCCACCCCTAATTTAGTCTCCTTCCAAAGGACTGATTGCAAATTTCACTACTTAACAAACAACATATGCAGCCGGGCGTGGTGGCTCATACCTGTAATCCCAGCACTTTGGGAGGCCGAGGCAGGTGGATCATGAGGTCAGGAGATCAAGACCATCCTGGCCAACATGGTGAAACCCTGTCTCTACTAAAAATACAAAAATTAGCCGGGTGTAGAGGTGCACACCTGTAGTCCCAGCTAGTCGGGAGGCTGAGGCAGGAGAATTGCTTGAACCTAGGAGGCAGAGGCTGCAGTGAGCCGAGATCACACTACTACACTCGTCTGGGCGACAGAGCGAGACTCCGTCAAAAAAAGAAAACATATGCAAGATTCAGATGTCTCGTGCTTCCCTCTGCCTCCACCCAAAGTTTCTTATTAACAGTATTGGTGGGAGCATGACATGTTTGTTTGAACAGTTCCATCAATGCCAAGCCACGATTATACACGGATAATGTTCCTATAGAAGGGAACCAACTCCTGGAAAATGAGCTCGAATGTTCAGCCCCATTGCCACCTCACATTCTTTATTCCCCACCACACAGATTGAGAGGGATGCGGTGACCAGACAGAGGAATGCCATTGAGACTCCCAGCACAGACCGTAGACTGCTTTTCTCAGGAGGCAATGGCAGTTCTCTGCAATACTCAGAAGGCAAGTCACCTGAAGAATCTTAAAACTGGAGACCTGCTGCACAATCCTTTTCTTTCTTCATTCAGCCAACATTTACTGAGCCTCGACTATATGCTGAACAATAATATAAATGAGGAACCCACAGTCCCGGCTCAGAATCCGGGGAAGGAGCAAGGAAACCAGCGGCTGCCTGCACATGCACACGTTGCCGGAGGAGATCCATCTTCTGCCCTAAAAGCTACAATCTCCGCCATCGGAAAGCTTCCAGCCTGGTAGGGTTATGATAAGGCAAACAAACAAACAAACAGACACAAACAAAGTGCTGCAGGCTTTGAGAAAGAAGTTAGATGGTGAAGGATTGCGGAGGCAAAAAGAGGCGAGCGATCAGAGAGCTCTTACTCCACAAGGGAGGATTTTACAGCAGCCATCACTCCTTAGTCTCTGTTTCCTTTTTATCACCGACACAAATGCTTCTGAGAACTTGGAATACTGCCCACCAGGAGTTTACAAATCCAAGTGAAAACTAACCACTAACTGACGGAGTAGAAAGGAAAGGAACAGGCCGGGCGCGAAAGCTCATGCCCATAATCCCAGCACTTTGGGAGGCAGAGGCGTGCGGATCATCTGCTCTCAGGAGTTTGAGACCAGCCTGGCCAACATGGTGAAACTCCGTCTCTACTAAAAATACAAAAATCAGCCGGGCGTGGTGGTGGGAGCCTGTAATCCCAGCTACTCAGGAGGCTGAGGCAGGAGAATCGCTTGAACCCAGAAGGCAGAGGTTGCAGTGAGCTGAGATCGCGGCCACTGCACTCCATCCTGGGCAAAGGAGCGAGACTCTGTCTCAAAAAAAAAAAAAGGGAAAAAGAAAAAGGAACAAAAGAATAACTCCTTGGGCCTCTGGTATAGAGGCTTCCAGCACAAAGTCACAATATGTGGGACAATATCAAATAAGCATTCCATTTATCACTAAAATATCTTGTGTTTACCATAAAGTGAAACCTGCTTAAAATAAAATCCATCAGGATGCTCATTTTGTTCACCCTACCCCCACTTGCCACATTACAAAGAGGAAGCAACAAGACATTGTTCAATGCTGCTGAGAACAATTTCATTTCCTTCCTGTTCACTATCTTTTTTGATACAACATGTAATTATGGGAATTTTTAAGAATTTTCAACAAATGTCTTCTATAAAACTTAGTCCCTTCTGTAGCAACATACGATCCCCCTGCAAATCAAGGTAGCTAGGAATTGTGCAGTGAAAGAGAGTGGTTTGCTTTAATGTTGTGTGCAACTAACTTCCTGTTGCCTTTTAATGTTCTGCTGCTAGTACAGCATAATTGGATAACTAATAACAAATACACGTGGTGCTGATTTTGTTTCATTAAAACATTTACAGAAGCTCAAAGTTAAGCATCTGAAACACCTGATTGATTTTTGTTTTTCACTACAATCTTTTTATGGCATAACATATGCACAGCTAATGTTTTAAAATAAAATGTAATATACCTAAAGAAAAGTGTACAAATCATAAGTATATGGTTCAATGAATTATCACAAAGTGGACACACCCATGTAACCATTGGACCAAGCGGCAGAACATCAGCTCCTAGAACCCCCACTCCCAGACCCGGGGGAACCCTCTCAGCCACCTGACTCCTCGCCTCCCACAATGTACACTTTTAACACTATGGGTTCGTTTTGCCTGTGTTTGAACTTCATGTAAATGGAATCATATTATGGAGTCTTTTGTGTTGGACTTTTCAATATTGTGAGATCCATAATGTATATAGGAGCAGTTCCTTCATGATCCTTGTACAGATTACTAATGACACCCCAGATGGGAGAATGACCCACAACTGATGATTATGAGGTTTCCCACACAGTGAGACTCCAAGTACAACTCCATTTCTTCAACTCCCCATTCTAACATTGATGAACAGAGCCTCCATTGTCTGCTGAGGACATGCTACTGGTTAGAATAATAATTTCCAGAGAACTCTTCTAACCATTGTAACTCAGTCCCTGCTAAGAATGTTGCTGTTCACTTCACTGTGAATCCGCTAGTGAATGCTGAGCACCTCCTGTGTGAGTCCTCCTGTGAGTGCCACAGGGAAAACAGTCCCAGCCAGGAAGCAGCTCATATAATTCAAGGACATGATCTGATTAAGATGATAAGAGAGGTATGAGTTGCCTTGGGAATTTTAAAGTCAGAGGAAATCACTTCATTTGAGGGATCAGAAACAGGCCTTTGAGGACCAGTGGGATCGACAGGCTAATCTGTGGGCACACCTCAGGCCAAGGTTATATCCTGAGTAAAAACAAACAAGCAAACCAAAAGAGACAATGGGGCATTTTGTGGAAAATATGAAGGGTCCTGAGTGGCTTAATCATAGGGAATATTGGGGGTTGAGTCTAGAAACCCAAGTAAGGATCATATTGTAGGAGACCTTAAATGTCAAGGCGAGGAAGAAATTTACTCTGGTGGCTTTTTTCACTGGTTTCTGCCCTGCTGACCTCCCTTTCCAACAACTAACTTTTGTCCGCCTTGCTTCTCTCTTAGGTGCCTTTCTCTCTCCCTTCGCTCCTTGTTTTTGTTTTAATTATTATTATTATACTTTAAGTTCTAGGGTACACGTGCACAACGTGCAGGTTTGTTACATAGGTATACATGTGCCATGTTGGTTTGCTGCACCCATCAACTCGTCACTTACATTAGGTATTTCTCCTAATGCTATCTCTCCCCCAGCCCCGCCAACCCCTGACAGGCCCCAGTGTGTGATGTTCCCTGCCCTGTGTCCAAGCATTCTCATATCGCTCCTTGTTTTTTTTAATAATTCTTATTTTCCACTTCAATTTAACCCACTGCAAGCTGGTTCCTGTACCCAACTTCTGAAATTACTCCTGCTGAGATCTCTGTACATCTCAGAGTTCTTGGTTGCAAAGAACTGAACCAGCTCTGGCTAGAGGAAGCAGAAATGGGATTTTCTAGGGAAGGGTGCAAATGGCTCCCAAGATTGAAAGGAAGGCTGGAAAAGAAAGCTTAGAAAACAGAAAGGAACCAGGAAATATCCGACAGCCCAGGACCAGCCACCAGAACAAGCTACTTAGGTCTTCATTGCTGTTGCATCCTCTCGCTGCACCTCTGCCTTGACTGGTCTGACTGCCCCAACTCTTTGCATCACTCTTCCAAGAGTCAAAGTCCTCCATGGCAGCATCCACTGGTTGAGCTTGGATCAAGGGGTCTGGCTTCTCATTCAGAAAAAAAGAAGTATTTACCCTCACCTCAGATTCTTTTTTTTTTTTTTTTTTGAGATGGAGTCTTGCTCTGTCACCCAGGCTGGAGTACAGTGGTGCCATCTCGGCTCACTGCAAGCTCTACCTCCCAGGTTCATGCCATTCTCCTGCCTCAGCCTCCCCAGTAGCTGGGACTACAGGTGCCTGCCACCACACCCGGCTAATTTTTTTTGTATTTTTAGTAGAGATGGGGTTTCACCGTGTTAGCCAGGATGGTCTCGATCTCCGGACCTCGTGATCCGCCCGCCTCAGCCTCCCAAAGTCCTGGGATTACAGGCATGAGCCACCGTGCCCGGCTACCTCTCAGATTCTTAGTGAGAGGCAGAGTCCCCCAAATAGTGAAATATTTGAATGAGTACAAACTCACCCAACTGCTGAGCCAAATAACCTCTTTTCAGCCTTTATCCCACTTTATCCCTGCATCGTTCCTCACCATCAGCATCCAAACCTTCACCTCTCACCTTCTTAAAATTATCTCTTCCAAGCTTGGTGTGGTGGATCCCACCTGTAATCCCAACACTTTGAGAGGCTGAAGCAGGAGAATTGCTTGAGCCCAGGACTTCAAGACCAGCCTGGGCAACATAGTGAGACCCCCCCTCTCTCCCAAAAATAATTTTAAAATTAGCCTGGCATGGTGACATACACCTGTAGTCTCAGCTACTTCAGGAGGCTAAGGCAGAGGATAGCTTGAGCTCAGGAGGTCAAGGTTGCAGTGAGCCATGATCCTGCCACTGCACTCCAGTCTGAGTGACAAAGGGAGACCCTGTCTCAGAATAATAATAAAATAAAATTCTTTCTTCCTTCAGCATCCAGGACATGGCTTTTTTCCTGGTTCTTTTTTTTTTTTTACTTCTGGCCACTCCTTCTTCTCTATTTGCTCCTGAAACTTTGAGTCTCCAAAACTCCTTCCTTGGTACATGCTCATTTGAAACACTCCCTTGGGTAATTACATTCATTTCCTTTGCTTCAAATGTGACCCTCAATCTTTTGCTCCAACCTGGACTTTCACTATGAGTCTCAGTCCCATGGGCACCTCAATATTAACATGTCCAAATGGAACTTTAATGGAACTTTAATCTCCATCCCTGCAGGCCTGCTCCCCTTTCTGACCCTAAGTCACAGCTGACCCAGCTAAAAATTCAGTCATCCTGAGTCCCCACGCATGTATATTAGTCACCAAAGTCTCTTCACTCTACCTCAAAATTATCCTTTACTTACTAAAGTATGTTAAAAGTCTCTTGACTCTACCATCTTGCTTCTCAATTAGCTTAGACCTTTATGATCTCAGGAGGAGAGTGGTAGTAGGCGGGGTTGAGATGGGGTGGATGCAGGAATAACTAAGAAGATAAAGGATGCAAAGGTGGATTGTGGAGAGGGAGAGGACAGAATTTAGGGTGATCCCAGGTTTCTGGCCTGAGCAACTAGATGGACCAAAAGAAAACTGTGAGACTTTAGAAGAGCATCTAGTTTGGTAGTTCAGTGTTGAATATGTTATGTTAAAATGGGACAACCAGATGCAAATGTCCAGCAGGCCACTGATATATATAATAATGTGAAGGTGGGAGAAAGAACAGAATTAGAGCCTCCAGTTGTGGAGTCATCAGATCAACCATCAGCTGGTGGATAAAATCATGAAAGTGGTTGATATTAATAAGAAGGCCAAATAGAGAGGGAAGACTCTTGAGTCAAGGTTGGATCGTGGAGACATCATCATTTCAGAGCAGAGATAGAGAAGCACATCAGGAGGCTGGAGGAAAAACTCCGAGAGGTAAAAGCTAAGCAGGGAAAGCAGTGAGACCAGCCAATGGAGAAAGAGTCAAGAATGAAGCTACTAACAGTGGAGTCAAATGCAGCAGGGATTGCATTGGGCTTTGCGATATGGAGGTCAGTTTAGTGCTTGCAAGAGCAGTTTCATCAGAGGCTGGGGAAGAGCCAGACAGCAGCAAGGTCGAGAGTGAATGAACAGGAAGTGGTGAGATGTGAGCGCAATCTTTCAAAATGCCTGGCTGAGAGGGGAAAGAGTAACAATGTAAGTAACTAGAGGGACAGCAGGATTAAAAGAGCCCCTTTTCTCAAGGGTAGGAATGACTTGAACTTGTTCGTGGTGATATTGAAAACCTGAATGCACACAAGAAGGAGAAGCTGGGGAGAGAAACTGAAGACACATGGAAAAAATGGACTGTGTTTGACTGATGGAACTGAGGCCAGAAGAGGTAGACTGAGAAAATCAAGAGTCCTATGTGGGAACTTGCCAGCGTCTGCATTTCAGAGGTCTTCAAGAGCTTCTTCTTTCTCTTTTCTTTCTATTTTAAAAGTTTAATGTTTTTTATTATATTCACGATTCAAAAATAAAAAATTATAAAAGGCGAAACATTTCTTTCTTACCCTGCATCTTCCCAGTTTCCCCTTCCACTTCACCCCCTTCCAGAGTTTCTTTTTTTTTTTGAGACAGAGTCTCACTCTGTCGCCCAGGCTGGAGTGCAGTGGTGCGATCTCAGCTCACTGCAACCTTCGCCTCTGGGTTCAAGTGATTCTTGTGCCTCAGCCTCCCTAGTAGCTGGGATTACAGGCGCCCACCACCATACCCACATAATTTTTGTATTTTTATTTATATTTTTTAATTTATTTTTTAATTATTTATATTTATTTATTTATTTGAGACAGAGTCTCGCTCTGTCGCCCAGGCTGGAATGCAGTGGCGTGATCTCGGCTCACTGCAAGCTCCATCTCCTGGGTTCACGCCATTCTCCTGCCTCAGCCTCCCAAGTAGCTGGGACTACAGGCGCCCGCTACCACGCCCACCTGATTTTTTGTATTTTTAATAGAGACGGGGTTTCACCATGTTAGCCAGGATGGTCTCGATCTACTGACCTCGTGATCTGCCCACCTCAGCCTCCCAAAGTGCTGGGATTACAGGCGGGAGCCACCGCGCCCAGCCAATTTTTGTATTTTTAATAGAGACGGGGTTTTGACATGTTGGGCAGGCTGGTCTCAAACTTCTGACCTCAGGTGATCCGACCGCCCTGGCCTCCCAAAGTGCTGGGATTACAGGCATGAGCCACCGTGCCCAGCCCAGAGTTTCTTTATGCACATATATTAAAGTATAAATATAGGTTCTTATTTTTACTCCCTTCCTTTCCCACTCCTTTTTTAATCCAAAGACACATATTAAATCCCCTTTCTGTAAGTTACTTTTTGTCACTTAACACTATGTCTTGGAGAATCTTCCCACATCATTACATGGAGAGCTGCATGCTTACAAGCATTTTTCTAATGCTGGCGTCATAAATGCCTGAAGTTTATTATACATGTCTTTTCATTTCACCTGCTTGAACTGCATGCTATTTAATACCACAGTATTCCGGCATTTATTTATTTACTTATTTATTTGAGACAGGGTCTTGTTCTGTCACCCAGGCTGGCATGCAGTGTCACCATCATGGATCACTGCAGCCTTGACCTCTGAGGCTCAAGTGATCCTCCCACCTCAGCCTCCCGAGTAGCTGGGACTACAGGCACACAACATCATGCCCAGCTAATTATGTTTATTTTTCATAGAGACACGGTCTCACTGTGTTGCCCACGCTGGTCTTGAACTCCTGGCTTCAAGAGATCCTCCTACCTCCACCTCCCAAAATGCTCAGATTATAGGGATAAGCCACTGAGCTGGGCCGGGCATTCCATTTTTTGAGTGCAGCAGGGTTGACAATAATTTTCTTGAAACATTGACCAGTTCAGGTCTTGTCTGATTCCAAATTAGCTACATGAATAACAAAGATGTAAACAAACATCAAAGATGATCACTCCACACGAGCAGGCAGGTGCTGTCACATCTCAGGACAAATGCCCTGTTTGGAGGTAGAATGGAGAAAGTGTAAAGGGATCTGTCTTTGGGTTAACAGCAGGAAATCAGCAGAACTTCAAAGCTGATAATAATCAGAAGCTTGGGAACTTGAAGGACTGTTCCCAAGATGGAACAGCAGATTCAGGTTTAGGCAACAGGAGAATGTCACTATCAGCTAAAAGCAACTGGAAAAGTGGATCTCCAGAAGTGGAGAGCTGAGGGAAAATCAGAACAAATGTCTCAAATCTCTCTCACCCCCTTTAATTTTCAAAAACTATAAATTAAAACAATAAGATGACTTGAAGTGACTGCCTTGAAATCTAATAAGCAGATGTATTAGCTGCCTTTCCAGAAATGTTTGGGTGGAAAAAAAATTATTTGAATCGAATTTTGTGCTTTGAATAAATTTAAAGGATTACACATCAATTTTAGCCTTTGTAAAAACAATACTGTGTAACAAATCACTCACAATTCAGTGGCTTTTTAAAAATCCAAGCTCGGCCGGGCACGGTGGCTCACGCCTGTTATCCCAGCACTTTGGGAGGCCAAGGCGGGCAGATCAGTTGAGGTCAGGAATTCAAGACCAGCCTATCCAACACGGTGAAAACCCATCTCTACTAAAAATACAAAAATTAGCCGGGCATGGTGGTACATGCCTGTAATCTCAGCTACTTGGGAGGCTGAGGCGGAAGAATTGCTTGAACCTGGGAGGCGGAGCTTGGAGTGAGCCGAGATCTTGCCACCGCACTCCCGTCTGGGCAACAGAGCGAGACTCCGTCTCAAAAATAAAAATAAAAACTAAAAACCCAACCTAAACCTCCGATTTGGCAATGAATTTTAGATACAACACAAAAGCACAATCCACAAAAGAAAAAATTGTTAAGCTGGACTTCCTTAACAGTAAAAACTTATAACTAATCGTAGTGGCTCATGCCTGTAATCCCAGCACTTGATCTCTCAGAAGCAAGAGGATCACTTGAGACTAGGAGTTCGGCACCAGCCTCGCCAACATAACAAGATCCAATCTCTACCAAAAAAACAAAAACAAGCAAACAAAAAACTCTTATCCTCTGCAAAAGAGTATGAAAACACAAGCCACAGACCAGGAGAAAATATTTGCTGAGCACCTCTCTGATAAAGGATTTGTATTTAAAATATACATAGAACTCACAAAATTTAATAAGATATGAAACAACCCAATATAAAAATGGGCAAAAGAAACGAACAGATACATCAACAAAGAAGACACACAGATGAAAAAAAAACTATGAAAAGATGCTCTACATCATATGTCATTAAGGAACTGCAAATTAAAACAGTGAGATACCACTACATACCTATTAGAATGGCCAAAATAACCTACGGCCATGCCACCCTGAACATTCCCCATCTTGCCTAGAATGGCCAAAATCCAAAGCACTGACAACACCAAATCCTGGAAAGGATGGGAAACGGCAGGAACTCTTATTTATTGCTAGTGGAGACACAAAATAGTATAGCCACTTTGGAAGACAGTTTGATGGCTTTTTGTTTTGTTTTGAGACAGGGTCTCACTCTGTTACCCAAGCTAAAGTGCAGTGGTGCGATCATGGCTCACTGTAGCTGAAACCTCCCAGGCTCAAGCAATTCTCCCACTCAGCCTCCTGAGTAGCTGGGACCACAGGTGTGCACCATCACATGTGGCTAATATTTTTTTGAGACAGAGTCTCACTCTGTTGCCCAGGCTGGAGGACAGTGGCACGACCTAGGCTCACTGCAACCTCCACCTCCGGGGCTCAAGCTATTCTCTTGCCTCAGCCTCCCTAGTAGCTGGGATTGCAGGTGCACACCACCACGCCTGGCTAATTTTTATATTTTTAGTAGAGACGGTGTTTCACCATGTTGGCCAAGCTGGTCTTGAACTCCTGACCTCAGGTGATCAGCCCACCTCAGCCTCCCAAAGTGCTGGGACTACAATGAGTTAGCCACCGCTCCTGCTCACACCTGGCTAATTTAAAATTTTTGTGTGTGTGTGGAGAAGAGGTCTCCTTATGTTGCCCAGGCTGGTCTCAAACTCCTGGGTTCAAGCAATCCTCCCACCTTTGCCTCACAAAGTGCTAGTATTACAGGTGTGAGCCAGCACACCTGGCTACAGTTTCTTAACAGATGGAAAAATGAATCCACACAAAGGGAAAAAGAGCATCAAAAATGGCATTGGGGCCAGGCGCCATGGCTCACACCTGTAATCCCAGCACTCTGGGAGGCCAAGGTGGCCTCGGATCACCTGAGGTCAGGAGTTCAAGACCAGTCTGGCCAACATGATGAAACCCTGTCTCTACAAAAAATATAAAAAGATTAGCTAGGCGTGGTGGCGTGTACCTATAAGACCAGCTACTCAGGAGGCTGAGGCAGGAGGATTGCTTGAACCAGGGAGGCAGAGGTTGCAGTGAGCTGAGATCACACCATTGCACTCAAGTTTGGGAAACAGAGCACGACTCCATCTCCAAAAAAAAAAAAAAAATGGCATCAATTTTCAACTTGTGATGGGGGATTTCCTGATTGTCTCTTTCCAGAATATCTTTAAGGTCAAAATATTTTCGTAATAATACTGATGTTGTTGCCTTTTCACTCTCATTCTCTCACAAGCATAAGTGGAGTTTTCCAGTGTGATATGGGAACAGATTGAATGCGGAGGCAGACATGAGAATCTAGCTTTCTTCTATTCATCCAGATATTCAACAGATTTGTTAAAAATGTAAAACAGCCACTCATCTCACAAACATTTTCTTTCTGAAAAAGTTATTTTTCATAGACATGTTATTTCTGTTAATGTGTCCTCTTTTATTATTGTTTCTAAAAATTTATGTTTTAATCTTTCTTTTATTTTGAGACTAGGTCTCACTCTGTTGCTCAGGCTGGAGTACAGTGCATGATCATAGTTCACTCTAACTCGAACTCCTGGGCTCGAGGGATTCTCCTGTCTCAGCTTCCTGAGTAGCGTGGACTACAGGCATGTGCCACCACACTCAGCTAATTAAATTTTTCGTAGAAACAGGGTCTCGCTATGTGGCCTAGGCTGGGCTCAAACTCCTGGCCTCAAACAATCCTCCCACCTCAGCTTCCCAGAGCTCTGGGATTACAGGGTGAGCCACTGCCTGTTTTAATTTCTTTTCTTTTTTTTTTTTTTTTTTTTTTTTTGAGACGGAGTCTTTCTCTGTCACCCAGGCAGGAGTGCAGTGGCGTGATCTCGGCTCACTGAAACCTCCGCCTCCCAGGCTCAAGCTATTCTCCTGCCTCAGCCTCCCGAGTAGCTGGGATTATAGGCACCACGTACCACCACACTAGGTTAATTTTTGTATTTTTAGTAGAGATGGGGTTTCATCATGTTGGTCAGGCTGGTCTCGAAATCCTGACCTCGTGATCCGCCCACCTCAGCCCCCCGAAGTGCCAGGATTACCGGCATGAGCCACCACGCTTAGCTGCCTGTTTTAATTTCTAACCGCAGCAAATAATCCACACCAACAGGACTCTTTGGCATTCTCAATAATTTTTAAAAGTAGTTAAAAGGTCCTGAGCCCAAAACGTGTGAGAGTTGTTGTTCTAGAGTAACTAGCATTGAAAGTTCTTTCACAAAGCTGACTGCAAATAAGGAAGATTTGGTGACACATAGAACCAGGTGGTAAAAATACAGGATGAGGGAAGGGCTTTCGAAATGGAGGCAAACAGAATAGGATCAGAAAATCTGAGCTGGAGATTAGTACAAAAGGGAGGAGGGACTAAATCTTTTATTGTGTCTGGGGTGTAGATCATTTACCTGCTCACTGTAGACTCGTGCCTGACAAATATAATTGCCTGGCAACCTCGGCTATTAGTTGTTTGAGACAGAGATATGATTGTAGATTCTGGCTGTATGTAATAATAATACCTCTTAAATTGCATCTGGCACTTAGGGACGCTGTCTAAATCCCTTGTGGCATCATTATTCATAGTTGCCTTCTGTGTTCATTTTACTTATAAAGAAATTGAAAACTCAGAAAAGAGTGTGTGGCTTTGGATTTAGGTAGCCCCGGATTAAAAATCCTGCCTAATGCTGGCTTCATCCGCTGTGTGAGAAGGTAACCATTTCAAGCCTGCACTGCTGAAGGAAGCACCAGTGTTCTGGCAACACCTCCTGTGTCCTGACTTTGGCTTTGGTTCTCACAGTGTGGTTTCCTCTGTTCTTTCCCACCGTTTGAGCCTGATTCTCCAGCTTTTCCAGTAAGTCTTGGGGCCACTGAAACTTTTACAATAAATTCATTTTCTTTTTACAGCAATGAATGAGGGTTCCAATTTCTCCATGTCCTCATGAACACTTGTTATTAACCATCTTTTTTTATTATAGTCATGCATTGCATAATGACATTTTGGTAAATGATGGACCTCACATATGATGGTGGTCCCATAAGACTATAATGGAGCTGAAAATTTCCTATTGCCTAGTGATGTCATAGCCATCATAATGTGGTAGTGCAATACATTACTCACGTGTTTGTGGGGATGCTGGTGTAAACAAACCTGTGCTCCCAGTCATATAAAAGTGTAACACGTGCTGAGCGCTGTGGCTCACACCTGTAATCCTAGCACTTTGGGAGGCCGAGGCAGGCGGATCACCTGAGGTCAGGAGTTCGAGACCAGCCTGGACCAACATGGCGAAACCCCGTCTCTACTAACCTACAAAAATTAGCCTGGCATGGTGGTGGGCCCCTGTAATCCCAGTTACTCGGGAGGCTGAAGCAGGGAGAACTGCTTGAACCCAGGAGGCGGAGGTTGCAGTGAGCCAAGATGGCGCCACTGCACTCCAATCTGGGCAACAGAGAGAGACTCTGTCTCAAAAAAAAAAAAGTGTAACACATAAATTATGTATAGTACATAACACTTGATAATAAATGACTATGTTTCTGGTTTATGTATTTGCTATCCTATACTTTTTATCATTATTTTAGACTGTACTCCTGCTACTTATATATTTTTTAAAATTAACTGTGGAACAGCCTCAGGCAGGTCCTACAGGAGGTATTCCGGAAGAAGTCATTCTTATCATGGGAGATGACAGCTCCATGGATGTTTTTGCCCCTGAAGACCTTCCAGTGGGACAAGATGTGGAGGTGGAAGACAGTGACACTGATGATCCCGGCCCTGGGTAGGCCTAGGCTAATGTGTGCGTTTGTGTCTTTGTTTTTAACAAAAAAACTTTAAAAGTTTAAACAATTGAAAATAAAAAGAGAAAAAAGCTTACAGAATAAGGATATAAAGAAAGAAAATAGGCCGGGGGCAGTGGCTCACGCCTGTAATCCCAGCACTTTGGGAGGCCGAGGCAGGCGGATCACAAGGTCAGGAGTTCAAGACCAGCCTGACCAACATGGTGAAACCCCGACTGTACTAAAAATACAAAAATTAGCCAGGCGTGGTGGTGCACGTCTGTAATCCCAGCTACTTGGGAGGCTGAGGCAAGAGAATCGCTTGAACCTGGGAGGTGGAGGTCGTAGTGAGCCAAGATCATGCTTCTGCACTCCAGCCTGGGTGACAGAGAGAGAGACTCCATCTCAAAAAAAAAAAGAAAATATTTTTGTACGATAGTACAATGTCTTTGTGTCTTAAGCTAAGTGTTATTACAAGAGTCAAAAACACTTAAAAATTTTTTAAGTTTATAAAATAAAAGCTACAGTAAGCTAAGGTTAATTCATTATTGAACAAAGATAGTTCTTTATAAATTTAATATAGCCTAAATGTACAGTGTTTATAACGTCTACAGGAGTAGTGTACGGTGATGTCCTAGGCCTTCACATTCACTCACCGCTCACTCACTGATACCCACAGCAACTTCCAGTCCTGCAGGCTCCATTCACGGCAAGTGCCCCATATAAGTGTACTATTTTTTATCTTTTATACCATATTTTTATTGTATCTCTTCTATGTCTAGACCCACAAATACTGACCATTGTGTTACAATTGCCTATGGTATTCAGTACAGTAACATGAGGTACAGGCTTGTAGCCTAAAAGCAATAGGCTCTACCGTATAGCCTAGGTGTGTAGTAGGTTACAGTAGGTTTGTGTAAGTGCACTTGATAATGTTCACAAGACAAAATCACCAAATGACTCATTTTTCTCAATGTATCCCCATCGTTAAGCGATGCATAACTGTATGGTCATTCTAGTCAGGGTTGATTTCCACCATTTGCAGCTAAGATAACTGTGGCTAATCTCAAAATCAATTGAATAATAAATGTTTCATGGAAAGCCCTCATATATAATCCTTCAACTTTCAAGTTTAGGGATTACTTTTGACTTATATGAAGACAGACCAACAAGAAGTCAGTATTGTATAAGCCCAGAAGGCAAGGACACTTGCCCATAAGCCATAGAGAACTTTCTACACTTTTGGAAAGGATAGCTCCTAAAAATACATGTGCCCAACTTCCAAGTGTCAACACTCGCACATCTTTGCCTGAAGGCTCTCTCTGGTTCTGAAATCTTTACACAAATCAGGCCACAAGCTCCAGGGAATCAAATATATCCCCAGAGCATTCTTCAAACCAATGATGGTTAGAAGATGGTAGATAAATACTCCAGCTCCCTCCACCCCCAGGCAGGATAAAAATTTTTTAAAAATATTTTGTCCCTCTTATTTTTATTAAGATATAATTCACATACCATAAAGCTCATACTTTTAAGGTGTACAATTCAGTGGTTTTTAGTATATTAACTAAAAATAGCTGCGCAACCATCACCACTGTTTAATTTCAGTTCATTTTCATCACTCCAAACAAAAATTCTGTACTTATTAGCAGTAATTCCCCATTCCACCCTCCCACCAGCTGCTAGCAAACATTAATCTATTTTCCATCTCTATGGATTTGCCTATTCTGGAAATTTTATATAAATTTTATATAAAACATATTGTATGGAGTCATATAATATGTGGGCTTTTATGACTGGCTTCTGTCACTTAACATAATGTTTTCAAGATTTATTCATGTTGTACCATATATCAATAATCTATTTCTTTTTATTGCTGAAATCTATTTCATTGCATGGATATACCACATTTTGTTTAACCACTCATCAGTTGATGGACACTTGGATTTTTTTTCCGCTTTTGGCTATTCTGAATAATGCTGCTGTGAATATTCATGTACGAGTTTCATGCGAATATTTTTTTCAATCTTCTTGGGTATGTAACAACTGGGAGTGGAGTTTCTGGGTCATAGGATAACTCTATGTTTAACTTTTTAAGAACTGGAAAACTGTTTTCCAAGGCAGTTATGCCAGTTTTCATTCATACCAGCAATGAATGAGAGTTCTAATTCCTTCACATTCTCACTAACATTTGTTATTATCGTCTTTTTAATTGTGGTTATCCTGGTGGGTGTGACATATCTCATTGTGGTTTTGATTTGTGTTTCCCTAATGATGAATGATGTTGAACATCTTTTCTTGTACTTACTGGCCATTTGTATATCTTCTTGGGAAAAATATCTATTCAAATCTTTACCCATTACTGTTGGGGTCTGTCTGGCAGGATAATTTTGAGTTGTACATTCTACACTGTCTGCCAGAGTTCTCCAGTGGGATTAGGATCTATTTGCTCACACTGGTGACTTGATTGATAACACATCTTTTATCTGTGCTCTCCCTTCCATACTAGTTTGCTAAGACTGCTATAACAAAGTAATACAGACTAGGTGGCTTAAACCACAGAAAGGTATTGTCTCACAGTTCTGGAAGCTGGAAGTGTGAAATTAAGACATCAGTAGAGTTGGTTTCTTCTGAGGGCTGTGAGGGAAGGAACTGTTCCATGTCTCTCATTTAGCTTCTGGTAGTTGTTTTCTGGCAATCTATGTCATTCCTTAGCAAGTAGAGAGAGTAGGAGGAATGATGTTCGCCAAAATTATGTAGATTGGGTAGGGATGCCATCTAAAATTCTGGATAAAAATTGGCCACTTCACTATTCACCTCCTCCAATGCCCACCACACATACCTCTGAAGAGTTAGAATTTTGGACTTCCCCAAACATTCCAAGCTCTCACATATCCTTATGCCTTTGCTCAGGCTATTTTTGGGCAACCATTCACAAATCTCATTCTTCCTTTAAGTTCCAGCTCAATGTCACTCCTTATTTAAGTCATTCCCAAATGAGTCTAATCATAGTAAATTCCAGAACCTGTGTGGAAGCTATAAGTCCAGATAGGCTACCACCACGTGAAGCCTGAGAATGAAGCCAACATGAAGAAGGACAGAGAAGAGAGATTGAGAGAAGCCAAATTCTGGGGACATCATTTGAATTGAATCTCTGGGTTAAACTACACCAACCCGTGCCGATCCCTTGATAGTTCTGTGTCACGTGCCACAGTATCATATGTCTCGATAGTTCCGTGTCAAGTGTAGAGACAACAGGATTGCCTTAGGAATATATTCTAAACTCATATAGAGTCTGCTTTTTTTTTGAGATGGAGTCTTGGGCCGGGCGTGGCTCACGCCTGTAATCCCAGCACTTTGGGAGGCCGAGGCAGGCAGATTACCTGAGGCTGGGAGTTCGAGACCAGCCTGACCAACATGGAGAAACCCTGTCTCTACTAAAAACACAAAATTAGCCGGGCATTGTGGCACATGCCTGTAATCCCAGCTACTTGAGAGGCTGAGGCGGGAGAATGGCGTGAACCCGGGAAGCGGAGCTTGCAGTGAGCCGAGATAGCGCCACTGTACTCCAGCCTGGGCGTCAGAGTGAGACTCCACCTCAAAAAAAAAAAAAAAAAAAAAGACGGAGTCTCACTCTGTTGTCCAGGCTGGAGTGCAATGGCACGATCTCAGCTCACTACAACCTCTGTCTCCCGGGTTCAAGTAATTCTCCTGCCTCAGGCTCCCAAGTAGCTGGGATCACAGGCACCCACCAACATGCCTGGTTAATATTTGCATTTTCAGTAAAGACAGGGTTTCACTATGTTAGCCAGACTGGTCTCGAGCTCCTGACCTCAGGCGATCTGCCCGCCTTGGCCTCTCAAAGTGCTGGGATTACAGGTGTGAGCCACTGCACCCGGCCACTTTCCATAGAGTCTGCTATGCCTTGGTTTGTAGTGGCTTCATCACGTATCTTGCAAAAAAACTAAGACAAGATTGTCTAAATTCTCTAGGTCAGTTTCCTATGGCTGCTGTGACAAATATCTACTTGTGGCTTAAAATAACACAAATGTATCATCTTATAGTTCTGGAGGTCAGAAGTCTAAAATACATCTCACAGGGCTAAAATCAAGGTGTCAGCCAGGTCGATTTCTGGAGGCTCTAGAGGAGAATCTGTTTCCTTTCCTTTTCCAGATGCTACAGGCTGCCGCCTCCTCTGGCTCATGGCCCCCTTCCTCCATCTTCAAAACCAGTACAAGCATCAATCCAACTTCTGCTTCCATCCTCACATCTCCTCAGACTCTCTTGCCTCTCTCGCCTCTCTCTTTCACTTATAAGGACTCTTGCCATTACAGTGACCCCATCTGGATAATCCAAGATATCTCCCCATCTCAAGATTCTTCACTTTTTTACATCTGCACAAATCCTTTTGCCAGGTAAGGTAACATATTCATAGGTTCTGGGGATTCAAAAGCAGACATCTTTGGGAGGGGAGGCATTATTCGGCCTCTGCCTCTTCATAGATTTTATTTTTCTTGCTGTCTTACTTATTGTCATATTTGACCATTTCTAAAATTCTGGCATTCTTTCAATTAGTTATACCTTCCTTCTTTCCTCCCTTCCTTTATTGGACAACCTCATCTGAGCACCTACTATGGGCTAAGTGCTATGCAAGGTACTGCAGGGATACAATTATGTATCCAGACTCTACCCTCAAGGTATTTACAGTCAGTGCATTTCCTCGATGGCCCTGTTACTGGTCTTAATTAAAATGAGCTAACCTTTGGGAAAGGACATTGCAAACACTGCAGGTGCAAAAGGTAGTAGAAAGCTAATAACAAAGAGAGTGGTCCAAGATTTGAAGTCCTGGTTTTCACAAAGTATAGATAGGACTGACTTTCCCTAAGTGGGCACTGACACTGTGAAGACCGGTCACACCCTCACCCAAAGGCTGTCACTGTGGACTTCACCATCACCTCCAACCTCACTCCCCACCCCTCCAAGAAGTGCAGCTTTCTGCAAAACATTTGAGCCACTTTTTTTTTGGCAAATTTCCCACAGATCAGTCTCAAGAAATGCTTGACAAAACACTTGGTCCCTAAAGAGTCTTATCTTTTACAAGTACATACTGAAATATTTACGGATGAAATGATATGATGTCAGGGATTTGCTTCAGAACAAAATGTGTGGGAGGAAGTGGGTGGGATATCGATGAAACAAGACTGACCATGAGTTAATAATTGTTGAAGCTGGGTAATGGAACACAGGGGCTTATTATACTATTCTAGTTTTTTTTCTTTGCATGTTTAAAATTTTCCATAATAAAAAAAGTTGGCAGGGCGCAGTGGCTCATGCCTGTAATCCCAACACTTTGGTAGGCTGAGGCGGGTGGATCACCTGAGGTCAGGAGTTTGAGACCAGCCTGGCCAACATGGTGAAATGCTGTCTCTACTACAAATACAAAAATAAGCTGGGCATGGTGGCTCATGCCTGTAGTGCCAGCTACTTGAGAGGCCGAGGCATGAGAATCACTTGAACCCGGGAGGCAGAGGTTTCAGTGAGCCGAGATCACGCCACTGCACCCCAGCCTGGGCAACAGAGTAAGACTCCGTCTCAAAAAAAAAAATAAGTAAATAAAAAATAAAATTACAAATTTAAAAGGTTAAGGAGGAAAATTTTGTCACTATATTTTACCTATGTCATTGTCATAAGCTTATCATTTGAATATATTTTACTGTATAAATATTCGCCTAGATTTTAAAAATAAATAAGCACAGGTATATAAATATTTGACAAAGCAGTTATCTTCTACAACCACTTGAATCACAGCAGGGAAGAGAAAGTGCTAGATATCTTGCCTGCGGCTAGCCTTGGAACAATAATGGTCCTGTCCTCAGAGAAGAAACACATGAAACTCTCAAACTTCATTCCAGTAACTGGACTTAAAGGGTTAAACATACCATATGGGGAAAGATAGTTTAACTTGATTAAGAGATAACTGTGGCTCTTTATGATGGAAATGGTGAACTGGCTTGACCCATCTCAGATTTTCGTATATTAACTTCCAGGTAGCATGTTAGCATTAGCTTGGGATCATGAAACTATGGTTTTCAGCCTCAGTGTGAATCTGAGAAAAACAACTGAAATGAATAGAATTTTCTTTGGAACTTCTTTATCTGCATTTTCAGTACTTGTGTAGGGGAAAGAGCTCAAGCATTAGAGCCAAAAATTGAACTTGACTTCCATCTCAGACCTCAGGCAGGTTCCATAACCTCCCCAAACCCGTTTCCTCATCTATAAAATATAAAATAATGTCTACTTTGCATGGATGCTGTGAGGGTTATGGGTAATGTATATAAAATGGCTCTCCCACCACAGACAACTAATGAGAGCTTAGTGTGTTTATAATTGCATGTTCCTCTTTACCCCTCCCCACATCTCCCATACAGTACTTGGCAACAGTAAGAATCTAAAAATGTTTGCTGAATTAAATTAAACCCTAATTAGATGGTAGATAGATGGAGTTAGTGGGAGGAAGTGTTAAGACTACAGCAGGCTCAGCTGGGCGCAATGGCTCATGCCTATAATCCCAGCACTTTGGGAGGCCAAAGTAGGTGGATCACCTGAGGTCAGGAGTTCAAGACCAGCCTGGCCAACGTGGTGAAACCCCGTCTCTACTAAAAATACAAAAACTAGCCAGGCATGGTGTGCACCCATAATCCCAGCTATTTGGGAGGCTGAGGCAGGAGAATGAATCATTTGAACCCAGGAGGTGGAGGCTGCAGTGAGCTGAGATTGTGCCACTGCACTGCAACCTGGGCAACAGAGCGAGAGCGAGACACTGTCTCAAAAAAAAAAAAAAAAAAGCTGTACCAAAATCCGCCCTTGGCACATGACTTGTTCACATGAGAGCTTCATCTCCCACTTCCTGTCCCTCACATCTAATCAATTACCAAGTTCTATCTATTCAAGCTCCCAGCATCACTAGAATCTACTCACTTCCCTTAGATCCTGCTGCTACCACCTTAGTTCAAGATTCATCTCTCTCACCCGGTCTATAGCAAAGGCTGGTCCCCTCAATCTGTTCTCGCCCCCTACAGTCCTTTCTCTTCACTGTAGCTGGAGGGATTTTTTTTTCCTTTTTTTAATTATGAAAAATTTAAAACATTCACAAAAATTGAGAATATAATGAACACCCATGTACTCATCACCCAGCTTCATTCAATTATCAATGAATGGCCAATTTTGTTTCACATATACCCCACCCACTCTCCCCAACGTTCTTGGATTATTGGAAGCAAATTCCAGAAGCCATCGCATTGGAAGGGGAGTCTTTTCATGGATTCAGAATAAAACTCAAAATCCTTCACAGGGCTTGCCAGGTCCTTGATCTCTGCTGACTTCTCCAACTACAGATTCTAGCTTGCTATTCCCCAGACTGAGACCTAGGCAAGCCAGCCTTCCCTCAGTTCCTTCAACATTCATGTTGCTTCTTTCGGTCCCTGCGGCCTTCAGGCTGCTTTCAATGCCCAGAAAGCCTGTTATCATCTTCTTTCACCCTGTTTGCTGGGCTTTAGCTGCTCATGTCTTTGCTATCACTTTGAATATCACCTTCTCAAGAGGCCCCCAGCTCAGGCTAGGTGTCCCCTTGCTCTCTTGGCACCTTCTGCTTCTCCTGAAATTATCAATACATAATTTTGTAGTTAATCATGTAAAGCTGCCGTCCCTGTTAAAAATTAGCTCTATGGCATAGGAACCATGTCTGTTTTGTACCCTGCTGAAGCACCCCGTGCACAGCTCCATACCTTCTGTATAGGAGGCACCTAATAAATATGTGTTGAATGACATCCCCAAGAAAGGTAAATACAAAAGCCACATGCATTTCACATTATAAATTGCTTATATACTTAGACCAGTGTCTTAAACCTGTTATAACCACAAGAAAAATGCCCAGGCCTTTAATTTTAGGTGTATTTTGTTACAGTCAATACGACTTTTTAAAAAGATTCTGAGCTGCATATTATGCTAGACACTGAAGGTTCAAAGATAAATAATACACTGCAAAATGATAAAAAACTACAACAAACTTAGTTTAAAGAGCTCAGTTGACTTTATGTGAGAGTCTGTAATTGGGCAACACTCCATTCCATAAAACAGAGTAAGTGTTCCGATAAGCTGAGCAGATGAGGTTGGCTTTATAGACAAAGAAGGACGGAAGAAAGCACAAGCAAAGAATGAAAATTGCATTGATCCTTTCAAAGCCACTTTTCTTGTAAGGTGGGGACAGGAAGACAGAATAATAGAAAAATAACTGATTAGTTAATATTAGGTTACTTCAGGCTACTTCTGTTGTACAAAGGTTAAAGCAGAGATTTAACCGGGCCTGTATGAGAAACTGGCTGTTATCTCTCCTGATTTCTCGGAAGGTCAGACAACAACCTAGTTTGGATTTGGTGATGTGGAACTTTATCAAAGTTAACTCCATTCTGATTTTTAGTCTGGTCTGTTGGAGCCTAGTGCAGAAACTTAGCCCAAAACAATAGCCCCCCGTAATTTTTATTTAACTACACAGATCCTGCCCTCAAGAGTTGCGTCTAGAGATAAAGACAGCCATTTAATGCTGTGATAATTGGTCATTTCTCATACTATATGTAGAAGGCAGAATATTTCATTAGCCAGGGAATCTGTAAAGTGTCAAACAACTAGAAATAAGCAAAAATTTGCCATAAAACAACAGCTAACATTTACTGGGTCCTTCTTTTTGGCCAAGTACGGTGAAAGCATTTTTCACATATGATTTCATTGAATTCTTACAACATCCTTTGAGACTTACCTTATGCTTCCTATTTTACAGATGGAAAAAGTCTACCAACACGTTGAAAATTTAGGTAACACTTTCTAAGTTACCCAGGAGTTGAAACCAGGGAGTCTGACCCCAAGGGTATACTCTTACCCTCTATGCTGGGGTTAACAAGCAATCTTCGAGTACTGCTGCAAGAAAAAAATAAAACAAAGGACACTTTTTAATTAATCACTGCTTCCCACTTCATGTCCTGGTTTCATAGTTATGTGTGTACACTTTCATAGGAAAATAGCAGATGTTGTGAAACCTGTTACTGATAAGGCTAGGTTCCTATGGGTCCAAGGCACTAACCATTGAATTTGGACTTTGTACCAAATATTTCCTATAGAGAGAAATAAGCTAGAAACTCTCAAGGTGTGAAGCTACTGCCTACCTTGAACCTAGCCTGTCTTCTTGGCCAGACTGAAAGCTCTGCATTCTTTTCTTCTTGTGCAGTACACCTTGTTGGCTTACCTCCTACAGATGGGATCTAGTCAAGAGGAAATTCATTATATTTTAAAACGGATAAATTGTTCAGATGAGTTACATGCTTGGAACTTAAACCATGGCAAAAAAAATTCTGTATTAATTATGCATATTTGGGAGTTTGCTTTTTAACTTTTAATTAAGGGAAATTTCCATCATATGCAAAAATAGACCATGTAATATAATCAACCCCCACGTACTCTTCACCCTGCTTCACACAGACACTTTTTCGTGGATCCATATTGCCTCCTCTGTCTTAACTAAGCCATTGCTGGATGAAAAGAAACCCTAGAGCAGCATTGTTTAATGTGAGCCAGATATGTAATTTTACCTTTTCTAGTCACCACATTTGAAAAGTAAGAAGAAACAAGTGAAATAAACTGTAACCGTACATTGTATTTAACCTAATATATTAAAAATATGATCATTCCAGTACTATCAATATAAAAGTTATTATCGAGATATTTTATATTTTTTCTTTTGTACTAAGTCTTTGAAATGCGGTGTACATTTTGCAATTACAGCATATTACAATCTGGACGGGCTTAATATTTTAAGGGCTTAGTAGCCATATGTGATATAAGTTAAATACACTAGTTTGTGATTAGTGGCTACCATATTGAACAGAACAGCCCTAAAGCGCCTAGGGTAAGAGAGTAAGGACTAAGCTCTGATTTTTCTCTTGTCCAAATTCCTATCTAAGGAGCCTGGGGAGTCATGCCCTACAAACCATAAATTCTCATCAGATGGGGTTTATTTAACCCTGTATATTGTGACTTACTTTCCAATCTGACTCTAGCATAACAAGAAAGAAAATCGAAATATTTTACCCCAAAACATGTTTCTCTGCCATATCTTGAAATGGCCCTGAAAAGCCATCCCTTATGGGAAAAATCCACATTCTATAGAGAATCCCCTTTCTACTTTGTTTTCCTTCCTTTTTTTCCAGATCCAGGAGATAATCAACTAAGAGCCAGGTACCCTTTTAGGTCCTATTCGAAACATTTTACAACCTGCTCTCTCTGCAGTCTGCTAAGTTGGTCTCCACAACCCTTTATCTTAACTTAAACATTTCTTTTCTGGTGATGCCAGGTCTTCAGATAAACTCAACCAACAGTCAACCAGAAAATGTTTAAATTTACCTACAGCCCGGAAGCAACCCCCGCCCCGCCCCACTTTGAGTTGTCCTGCTTTTCCAAACCAAACCAATGTGTTTCTTAAATGTTTTCTATTGATGTCTCATACTTCCCTAAAACATATAAAACCAGGCTGTACCCCCACCACCTTGGGCACATGTTCTCAGGACCTCCTGAGGGCTGTGTCACAGGCCATGGCCACTCATATTTGGCTCAGAATAAATCTCTTAGAATATTTTACAGAGTTTGACTCTTTTCATCGACAGGAGTAAACAGCTATTTTGCAATTTACCCGAAAATAATGCTACTAAAGACTTCTGGCAAAAGTTGAAGTACAGTGCATATATACTGGGCTTCTCCATGAAATCGCCAACAAAAGAAGACCAACAACAATAATTAAAAAGTTACTCGGGAGGCTGAGGCAGGAGAATCGCTTGAACCCAGGAGGCAGAGGTTGCAGTGAGCTGAGATCGCGCCACTGCACTCCAGCCTGGACGACAGAGCGAGACTCCGTCTCAAAAAAAAAAAAAAAAAAAAAAGTTAGACAAGTCCTTCTACAAAAAAGGACAACCTCCAAACCCCAGACTATGATGAAATGTGGCTCTCCAGATCTTGAGCAAGGTTATAGTGAGTAGAAAGTATGTTAGCATTTCCTGAGAGGTTACAACGTGGTAGAGTACAGTGGCTCTAGACACGCAATACCTGGTTCTGCTATTTACAAGCTGTGTGACTTGAGCAAGTTATTCAATTTCTCTGTGCCTCAGGTTCCTCGTCTATAAAAATGAGCATCATAAAGTCTGGGATAGTTTTAAGGACTGAATGAGGAATACATGTAAAAACATGCATGGCCCATGTTAACCTTCCATAAATGATCACCATTCAAAACAAAAAAAAACCAAACCCAACAGCAACACAACTGTGGGGAGACCAAAAGGAAAATGAGAACTGAGGATGAGGAAGGTGGGGCTGATGATACAATTGAATTCATTAGTAATTTTTCTCTGTGCTCTGGATTCTAACTTAACAAAGGTGCTTGGAGACGGGAGTAAGAAGAGAGAAGAAATCAAAACCGGCTTTGCTGGTGCTGACCAGTCCATTAAGCAGAGTTAAACATAAAATCCCTAGACAAAATATCTCTTATCTAGGAATCTTTTTTTTTTTTTGAGACAGAGTTTCACTCTTGTTGCACAGGCCGGAGTACAATGGCACGATCTTGGCTCACTGCAGCCTCTGCTTCCTAGGTTCAAGCGATTCTCCTGCCTCAGCCTCCCAAGTAGCTGGGATTACAGACGTGAGCCACCATGCCCAGCTAATTTTTGTATTTTTAGTAGAAATGGGGTTTCACCATGTTGGCCAAGCTGGTCTCGAACTCCTGACCTCAAGCTCTCTACCCACCTTGGCCTCCCAAAGTGCTGGGATTACAGGCGTGAGCCACCACACCTGGCCTATTATCTAGGAATCTTTACAGTTGTCCACAACAACCTCCTACTTGGACAGCTTGCTCAACTGAAGGGAAATTGTCCTACTGAAAAAAAAAAAAAAAGACAACATAATTTGGGGAGAGTGTTCTAAGGCAGCATTTTCATTTTGAAGTTGTCAGCTACTCCAGCTCAATAAACTGACCCTCTCCAAACTGTTTTTCAACAAAAGAACAAAAGAACCAGATACAATTGTTTGCATGTAGATATGAGATAAACACAGAAAAGAAATGCAATTTAAGTTGTATGCATAGTACAGTTTTTAAAAGTGACACACAGAAGAATATTTAAGAAAAAGATTTCACTCTCAAAGAATTTAAAAGGAACCTATAAAATCTTTGCCAAAGGGGCTGTGAGCGGTGGCTCACGCCTGTAATCCCAGCACTTTGGGAGGCTGAGGCGGGTGGATCACTTGAGGTCAGGAGTTCAAGACCAGCCTGGCCAACATGGTGAAACCCTTTCTTTACTAAAAATACAAAAAAATTATCTGGGTGTAGTGGCACATGCCTGTAATCCCAGCTACTCAGGAGGCTAAGGCAGGAGAGTAGCTTGAACCTGGGAGGCGGAGGTTGCAGTGAGCCGAGATCATGCCACTGCACTCCAGCCTGGGCAATAGAGCAAGATCCTGTCTCAAAAAGAAAAAAAAAAAAAAAAGATTATTTGCCAAAGAGCTTCAGAAGGAAGTATGAGAGATCAGAGAGGAAGATGAAGTAATCGGCTTCAGTAAGGAAAAAAATGATACATAACATTAAAGTATTTTGGAAATGAAAATCACAATAGAAGCAGTAAGAAGCATAGAAATGCTGAAAAAAGAATCCATGACTTGGAAAACAGGGTTAAGAAAAATATAGAGGGCAGAGATAAAAGAAAAGAGAGTGGTTATCCATAATATGGAAGAACAATGTATTAGATTATGATAGAATAATATATAATATAGATAGATATGAGGAAAAACAGTACTCAGGAAATATGGCACTGATCAACCCCTCTTGGAAAAGTTACTTGCAAAATCTAGACAATCAAGAGACAGTTCAAGATAAAGAATTCAAGAATGGAAAAGACTTTGCTTTAATGGATTGTTAGTGAGTACTGACCCCATTTAAATATCAAGAGGTTACTGGAAAGGGGTCCTGATCCAGACTCCTAAAGGGTTCCTGGATCTCATGAAGAAAGAATTTGGGGTTAGTCCATAGAGTAAAGTGAAAGCAAGTTTACTAGAGAAGTAAAGAAACAAAAGAATGGCTATTCCATAGACGGAGCAGCCCTGAGGGCTGCTGGTTGGCTATTTTTATGGTTATCTCTTGATTATATGCTAAACAAGTGGTGGATTATTCATGAGCTTTCCAGGAAAGGGGCAGGTAATTCCTGGAACTGAGGGTTCCTCCCCGTTTTAGACCATATGGGGTAGCTTCTGGACATTGCCATGGCATTTGTAAACTGTCATGGCACTGTTGGGAGTGTCTTTTAGCAGGCAAATGTATTATAATTTATGTATAATGAGCAATGAGGATGATCAGATGTCACTTTCATCACCATCTTGGTTTTGGTGGGTTTTGGCCATCTTCTTTACCACATCCTGTTATCCTGTTGAGATACAGGTTGTTATGACCTGTATCTCGTGACTTCCTATCTCATCCTGTGACTATGAATGCCTGACCTCGTGGAAATGCAGCCCAGTGGTCTCAGCCTCATTTTACCCAGCCCCTATTCAAGATGGAGTTGCTCTGGTTTGAACTCCCCTGACAAAACTGAGGTAAACAATAGCAAGAATTACAAACTGCAGAGCAGAATGAGTTGCAGGGTTGACACTGTCAATGTAAACACAGTCAGGTAGTCTAGGAGGGCATGCTAGGCCTCTGGGCCAACAGTCACCAACAGTGGGGCCTTCACTGGAGCAGCCACCAAAGCATGGCTCAGCATTGCTCCCCTCTGCAGAGGCAAGCCTGGCTCTCTGTTTCTTCCAGAGATTCTGTGGGCTTCCTTGTTAAAAAGAATTTTTCTGTAGATTCTGTTTTACTATGGATTCTGTTGTTTGTCATTAAGACTCTGACTGATAAACCATTCAAATGAAATTTAAGAAAGGCCAGGCACAGTGGTTCATGCCTGTAAGCCTGGCATTTATGGAGACTGAGGTGGGAGAATTGCTTGAGGCTAGAAGTTTGAGACCAGCCTGGCCAACACAGTAAGACCCCATCTTTTAAAAAAAAATTAAGAAAGATGTATGTGGTCAAAGTGTTAAGTGTATGGATGCTTATACACAGTTGGTAGGAATGGTGTCCCAACCTTTGAAACGGCAATTTGGTGGTATCAATTAAGATATTAAACATGAATCTCAGTGACCCAGAAATTCTACTTCTAAAGGAAATTATCTTACATATTTAAAGTCATTTTCATTTGTTCAACGAATATGTATTAAACACTGTGCTACATGCTGGAGACCCTGCAATAAGCAAAACAAGCCAAAATTCCTACCTTCATGAGGCTTACATTCTGGATGGAAGAGTGGAGGGCAGATAGACAATGAGGAAAGTAAAATATAATATACAGTATGTCAGAAGATGAGAAGCGCTATTTCGAAGGAGAAAGCAAGGAAAGGATGTAGGAGGTATTAGACAATTTTTAATTTGCGATCAGTGGTCAGGGAAGACTCATATGTAAGTAAAGACCTGAAGGAGGTGGGGAATTAAGTAACATAATATTTGAAAGAAGAGAATTCCAAAAAGAAGAAACAGCAAGTGCAAAGGCCCTAAGGCAAAAGCCTACCAAACATATTAGAACAATTGCCAAGGAAACTAGTGTGGCTGGAGAAGAGTGAAGATTGGAGTATGGAAGGAGATGGTTCAGAGAATAATGGCACTGGGGGTAGACATTGTAGCTTTGCTGGCCGTTGTAAGGACTTTGGTTTTTAACTCTGAATGAGTGAGAAGCCATTAATTTTTAATGTTGTTGTTGTTTTGAGACAGAGTCTTGTTCTGTCACCCAGGCTGGAGTGCAGTGACACACTCATGGCTCACTGCAGCCTCAGCCTCTTGGGTTCAAGCAATCCTCCCACCTCAGCCTCCCAAGTAGCTGAGTCTACAGGCACGTACCACTCTGCCTGGCTAATTTTTATATTTTCTGTAGAGACAGGGTTTCACCATGTTGCTGGTCTTGAACTCCTGGGCTCAAGCGATCCACCCGCCTCAGCCTCCCAAAGTGCTGGGATTACAAGTTTGAGCTACTGCGCCCAGCCACATTGAAAGGTTTTAAGCAGAGAGAAAAGAGAGAAATATTAACATATTAAAATGCGCTGCATTGTGAATGGGTTGAAGAAGGGCAAGGCGAACACAGAAGGCATTTAGGAGGCTATTCCAGTTATCCAGTCAAGAGATGGATGGCGACTTGGACCTGGGGGGAAAACAATGGAGTGGGGATAAGTGGTTAGATTACACGAAGAGGCAAAAGTGCAAAGACAAACACGTTCAAGAGATGTTGTTTATAACTGAGAGAAACTAGACATAACCTAAATATCCAATAATAGAAGACCAGTTAAACATATGATATATCCATTTTTTTTTTTTTACTTAAAAGCTTCTGTAGTGATTGAAAGCATGTGTTAATTTTTAAATTAAAAAGCCAAGTGAATAACATTAATTTTTAATGTTACTCAACTTCAACAAAAGCATGTTTTGGGACCATTAAAATATCTTGTTTGGCAATTAAAAATACAAACCTAGAAGCACTGACATGAAAGTTTCTTATTTCAAAAACAATTATGAGGGGCCAGGCACAGCAGCTCACACCTGTAATCTCAGCACTTTGGGAGGCTGAGGCAGGTGAATCACCTGAGGTCAGGAGTTCAAGACCAGCCTGGTCAACATGGCAAAACCTCGTCTCTACTAAAAATAAAAAAAAAACTTAGGCAGGATGGCGGCGGGCGCTTGTAATCCCAGCTACTCTGGAGGCTGAGGCAGAAGAATCGCTTGAAACCAGGAAGCAGAGGTTGCAGTGAGCCAAGATCACGCCACTGCACTCCATTGTGGGCAACAGAGCAAGACTCCATCTCAAAAAACAAAAAACAAAAAAAACGAAAAAACAATAATTATGAGCCAAATAGAAATATGCACCTGTACCTCTTAAACTAGTGTACCAGTAATAATTCGTGACTAGACATAACAAAGCATATACTTCTATTCTTTTCCTTTGAAACATTTTTGATAGGACAGATATAGTTTAGGAAATGCAGAAACAAGATGCGAGTCAAATAGTGGTTTTTAATGAAATTTTAGATTGAGTTTGCTGTGACAAAGCATCTAAGATCCGAATAGGCAAAAAGATTTGTCTAAGAGGTGAAACCAGGACATTAATATGTGATTCACAACCTACAAATTGGTCAGGGAACAATTTGGTGGAGGCTGGAAATTGGTAGATAAGAATGATCTCAATGATCCTTTATTAGTCACTCGCCAAATGCCAGGCATTATGTCTTCTTGTTTTTACAACTTCTCATTTTAGAATACATACCTTAATTCCACAAACTTGCCCATTAGTCATTGGCTAGTATAAATGGAAGGTCTGAAACTCGAACTTGGGTTGTCTTATGTCAAAGCACATCCTTTTCCTGCTATAACGCCCTGTATTAAGTAAGGTTGGCTAGATTGACTTTTAAGGTTGTTAACTGAAAAAAATCACACGATTTATAAATTTAGAAAAGATTGGCCAGGCACAGTGGCTCACGCCTGTAATCTCAGCACTTTGGGAGGCTGAGGTGGGCGGATCATGAGGTCAGGAGATCGAGACCATCCTGGCTAACACAGTGAAACCCCGTCTCTACTAAATAAAATACAAAAAATAAAATTAGCCAGGCATGGTGGCGGGCGCCTGTAGTCCCAGCTACTTGGGAGGATGAGGCAGGAGAACAGTGTGAACCCGGGAGGCGGAGCTTGCAGTGAGCTGAGATCGCGCCACTGCACTCCAGCCTGGGCAACAGAGCAAGACTCCATCTCAAAAAAAAAAAAAATTAGAAACGGTGAAGGAGACTTTTTTTTTTTTTTTAAGGATTACAGCCTTCAAGGCGACCACTGTGCAGGCTGGGAAGCATGCCTCTGGCCAAGATCAGAGACAGGCACTTTGAAGGAGGAGAGATTAAAATAAAGCTCCTCAAAGGGTTGGTTAAACATACATATTCAACAGGTTACAGGAGGAGCTATGAATTGCCAAGACCGGCTCGGTCAGGGAGACCCTAACCCAGCAGTGCTAGAGTAATTAAAGACACACACACAGAAATATAGAGGTGTGGAGTGGGAAATCAGGGGTCTCACAGCCTTCAGAGCTGCTGAGAGCTTCGAACAGAGATTTACCCACATATTTATTGACAGCAAGCCAGTGATAAGCATTGTTTCTACAGACTGTAGATTAACTAAAAGTATTCCTTATGGGAAATAAAGGGATGGGCCGAAATAAAGGGATGGGTTTGGCTAGTTGTCTGCAGCAAGAGCATGTTCTTAAGGCACAGATGGCTCATGCTATTGTTTGTGGTTTAAGAACGCCTTTAAGCCGTTTTCCGCCCTGGGTGGGCCAGGTGTTCCTTGCCCTCATTCTGGTAAACCCACAACCTTCCAGTGTGGGCATCATGGCCATCATGAACATGTTACAGTGCTGCAGAGATTTTGTTTATGGCCAGTTTTGGGGCCAGTTTATGACCAGATTTTGGAGGGCCTGTTCCCAACAATGAATATTCATGGTAGTCCTGATGCACACGTACTGAACAAACATGCATGTAACATACATTCATTTTGGAGTGGATACTTAACATTGAAATGTATTACAATTCGGACACACACATCAAAGTATCTTTTCAGGATACAAAAAAGAGCACGACCTCTGTAAACCAACTAGAACCAGTCCATGGTCAGTGGTCTTATTAAGAGAAAGTTACTGAAATCAGTCTCTTGTCCAATCAAAGCTGTGGTTTTACGGCTGATGGGACAGGGGCTGAGGATCAATTAGCATCTGACGGAGCCGCAAATAGTTTTAATATTGCTTATCTCAAGGTCAGTGCTTGTTTAGCTGCTACAGAAAAAGAAAACCCTTATAATTGTGAACCCCAAAAATCCGAGACAGGTCTCAGTTAATTTAGAAAGTTCATTTTGCCAAGACTGAGGATGCATGCCTGCCCACGACCCAGACTCAGGAGGTCCTCACCACATGTGCCCTAGGGGGTCAGAGCACAGTTTGGTTTTATACATTTTAGGGAGACATGAGACGACATCAGTCAACACATGTAAGATGAACATTGGCTCGGTCTGGAACGGCAGGACAACTTGAAGCAGGGAGGATGTCAGGCCTCTGAGCCCAAGCTAAGCCGTCATATCCCCAGTGACCTGCACGTATACATCCAGACGGCCTTAAGCAACTGAAGATCCACGAAAGAAGTGAAAATAGCCTTAACTGATGACATTCCACCATTGTGATTTATTGCTGCCCCAACCTGACTGATCAATGTACTTTGTAATCTCCCCCACCCTTAAGAAGGTTCTTTGTAATTCTCCCCACCCTTGAGAATGTACTTTGTGAGATCCACCCCTGCCCGCAAAACATTGCTCCTAACTCCACCGACTATCCCAAAACCTGTAAGAACTAATGATAATCCACCATCCTTTGCTGACTCCTTTTTCGGACTCAGCCCACCTGCACCCAGGTAAATAAACAGCCTTGTCGCTCACACAAAGCCTGTTTGGTGGTCTCTTCACACAGATACCTGAGAAAGAGGAGGCTTCCTGGTCATAGGTAGAGAAGAAACAAATGATTGCATTCTTTTGAGTTTCTGATTAGCCTCTGATTAGGCTCTTTCATTTATACTAGCCAGTGACTAATGGGTGACTTTGAATAGAATGGGAGGCAGGTTTGCCCTAAGCAGTTCCCAGCTTGACTTTTCCTTTTAGCTTAGTGATTTGGGGGCCTCAAGATATTTTCCTTTCACATAATATAGTTAGAACACAGGCCTATGTCCTGTTTATAATGTGGTATCTTATTGCCACAAAGAGTCTATTCTGTCAGCCTTATGATCTCTATTTTAACATTAATGCTGGTCAGTTGTGTCTAAACCATAAAAGGGAGGGGTATAATGAGATGTGGTTGACCTCCCATCTTGTCATGGCCAGGAACTCAGTTTAAGGCTTTTCTGGGGTCCCCTTGGCCAAGAGAGGTTCTTTTCAGTCGGTGGGGGGCTTAGGATTTTATTTTTAGGTGACAAGGCTTTTCTTTGGGAACAATAGTATATCTAGTGGGATTATATTCAATTCCATGGAACAAACCCTGACCTTAAACAAGTAAGGGGGTTGCTTTTCTCGTGTAGTAAGACATCTGGAGCTAGGCACAGCTAGGTGGGTGCGGCTCCACCTTTATTGTGGGCTGTCCCAGAGTCTAAGACTACTGCTCCACCTCCAGCCTCAAGGCAACCTCACAGCAACCTCAAAGCAGGAAGGAAACAGGAGGCTGAGAAAAGGGGTAGTACCCGCAACAGGAAAGCAAAAACCTTCCCAGGACTTGCCAGCTGACGTCCTCCTATATCTCAATGGCCAGAATTGTGTCACGGGACCATTTCCTCCTACATCTCATTGGCCAGAACCATGTCATGTGATCACCCCTGCGATGACCTCGCGAAAGTGGGCATCTTAGCTTGGCACATTGCCTCCCTGTACAAAATCTGGGTTCTCTTAGAAGTTAAGAAGGCGAGAATGGATTTGAGGAGGCAGTTAGCAGTGCCCCGTAAAGAACTGACGGATCAGGGATGTCGGGAGAGGAGAAGCCGCCTCGGAAGTACCACTGGACTCTGGATTTCTAGGAGCTCTGGGCACCACTGTTGATGCATTTTGCTACAAGGAGGCAGGGAAAGATAGTCTTTGTTCCACGAAGCTCTGGGCTTAGCTTCAGTTCTATTACAGCCCCTTAATGACAGGGATACATTCTGAGAAATGCGTCTTTAGGCAATTTCATTTTGTGAACATGGAGTGTACTTACACAAACTTAGATGGTATAGCCTACTACACACCTAAGTTATATGGTATAGCCTATTGCTTCTAGGCTGCAAACTTCCACAGCATGTGACTGTACTGAATACTGTAGGCAACTGTACTGAATACTGTAGACAACGGTAAGAATTTATGTCTCTAAACATAGAAGAGGCACAGTAAAAATACAATATAAAAGATAAAAACGGTATACCCGTATAGAGCACTTACCATGAATGGAGCTTGCAGGGCTGGAAGTTGCTGTGGGTGAGTGAATGAAAAGGCCTAGGATATTACTGTCCACTACCGCAGACTTTATAAACACTACATTTAGGCTACACTAACAATAAGTTAATCTTGGCTTACTGTAACTTTTTTACTTTGTAAACTTTAAATTTTTTTTTAACTTTTTGACTCTTTTGTAATAATACGCCTTAAAACACAAATACGTTTCAGCTGTACAAAAATATTTTCTTCTATTCTTATTCTATAAGCTTATTTTTCCCATTTTGAAAATGCATTTATTTACCTTTTAAACTTTTTTTCTTAAAAACAAAGGTGCAGGCCTACACAGGGTCAGTATCATCAAGATATCACTAGGTGATAGGAATTTGTCAGCTCCATTCTAACCTTGTGAGGCCACTGTTGTAGATGTGATCCATTGTTAACCAGAATGTCATTGCAGCACATGACTTTATTACAGAAGAAGGAAAGAATGGACAGTGGGGAGCAACCAAGGTCTCTGTCTGCCACAGTTCCTCCACCAGCCCCTGAGACAGAGTTCCCCTCAGGAGGAGTCTGGTATGCGGACCCATGTACACATCATCTCTAGACAGAGAGACTTCAGGGCAGTTGTTGACATCGGCTTAAGAAATGGTGGGAGAGTGGCAGGCACTTGGGGATGCTGAAAGTATTTGAAGATAAATCCAGCCTCCCAGATCCGCCTGGAGAGAGGCATTGACAGGGCAGCCTGGCTGCTCAGAGCTACCCTACCCCAGCCTTGTCACTAGCAATATGTCTCTCCTTCCTGGGTCTCAGTCTCATTTTCCTCTTCTTTTTTTTTTTTTTTTTTTTTTTTGAGACAGAGTCTCGCTCTTGTCGCCCAGGCTGGAGTGCAATGGTGTGATCTCAGCTCACTGCAACCTCCGCTTCCCAGGTTCAAGTGATTCTCCTGCCTCAGCTTCCTGAGTAGCTGGGATTACAGGCGCCCGCCACCATGCCTGGCTAATTTTTGTATTTTTAGTAGAGACGGGGTTTCACCATGTTGGCCAGGCTGGTCTCAAACTTCTGACCTCATGCAGTCTGCCCACCTCAGCCTCCCAAAGTGCTGAGATTACAGGTGTGAGCCACTGTGCCCGGCTCTCATTTTCCTCTTCTATAAAGGAGAGTAATAACCCTACCTTGCAGGGTTGGCGTGAGGCTCGTTTGAAGTTATGTATGTCCAGCTCCTGTTCTATACTATCCACTCCCTAGATGATGGTTATTTTTGTTATGAGTATGATTTGGCCCCCATGCCCTCTGCTCTAACTCAACTCCCATCCTCTCCCTCTCAGGTCTTCTGACCCACTTGCCATTCCCTTATTAGAACATGAACTCTCTGCCTGGCTTTCCACTTCCCACTTTGCACACGTTGGAATCTTGGCGGAAGCACCTCACATCCCGTTGAACCCGGTACTCCTCTGTGATTCAGTTGGCCTCTGCACTTCTCCAGGAAGTTCTCTCTGCCACTCCAGGCCAGGTGAAGCTGCTCCTCAGTCTCCCTAGCAACCCACACTTAATTCTATCAGGGTTCTTCTTGCACCCTTGGGCAATTACTGAGTTCCTTGCAAGGCTAGTCCAGACTCTCAGTGTATAAACCACCCTTGAGGTAACTAATTCCATCTTAGAAAAACCCTCCATTTTATATTTCATGGGCACTTTGCTAACAAGGATAAGATGTTTTGCTTGACGAACAAATTTTAAAAAAGAACACAAACAAGCACACTCATCCACTATAAGTTCTCACCAGAGGACCCTCTGACTGTAAAAGAGCGAAGCCTTCAGCTTGGCTGTCTTCACTAACACCGTCTTGCAGTCACTCATGATAAGAACTCAGAATTTGCCACCGAAAGCTCTGCCACATCAAAGACTCTTCCTTGCAAGACCACCAGGCCCAGACCAGGACTCCCTTTGTCTTCTTCCCTCCCTTTGGACTGGTTCATTAACCCTTTCTCCTCTTCTTCGTCTTGATGTTAAATATTACTTTGTTGTGGAATGTTTAATCTACAACATTCGTATAGTGATTAAGTATACTAGTATGTATGGTTTGCAATATTTACTGACTTATGGAGTGGCTTGAACCTATGTGCTCTGACTACAGAGTGAATGGGAAGGACTAAGGAGAATTGCCTCCTTGGGAACTCCATGTAGCTCCTGGATTTTGTGATTGAAATAGCATTTAAAAAAAAAAAAAGACTGACATTGTGGAGAGATACAAACGTGTATGGACATGGTCATCTTTAATCTCTAACTGCTATGACACTCAGAGAGGTTGAGAGGCTCAGGACACTCCCCTTGTTCAAGGCTCTGCGTGAAGAGGAGAAGGAAGAAATTGTGCAATATTTTATTTTATTTTATTTGTTTCAGATGAAGTCTGTCTCTGTTGCCCAGGCTGGAGTGTAATGGCGTGATCTTGGTTCACTGCAACCTCTGCCTCCTGGGTTCAAGTCATTCTCCTGCCTCAGCCTCCCAAGTAGCTGGGACTACAGGCATGTGCCATTACGCCCAACTAATTTTTGTATTTTTAGTAGAGGCAGGGTTTCACCATGTTGGCCAGGCTGGTCTTGAACTCGTGACCTCAAGTGATCCACCCGCCTCGGCCTCCCAAAGTGCTGGGATTACAGGCTTGAGCCACTGCGCTGGCCTAATTGTTCGATATTTTAAATGTTTAAATGACCGGCAAGTCGTAGGTGCTCAACAAATATTTGTTGAATGACAACAAATTAGCACTGTTGACACAAAAAAGGCAATGCAATATATGGGCTATTTAATATTTGCAGATTTTTATTTAAAAATCTGAATTCACAGTACACTGCAGGCGGTTGCTTAGAAGCATACAAGTTTCAAGAAGTTCTGTCACCCTGTGTATACTCTTTTTTTTTTTTTTTTTTTTTTTTTTTTTTTTTTTTGATACGGAGTCTTGCTGTTGCTGCCCAGGCTGGAGTGCAGTGGTGCGGTCTTAGCTCACTGCAACCTCCGCCTCCTGGGTTCAAGCGATTCTCGTGCCTCAGCTTCCCAAATAGCTGGGATTACAGGTGCGTGCCACCAAGCCCGGCTAATTTTTGTATTTTTAGTAGACATGGGGACCAACGTGGACCATGTTGGCCAGGCTGGTCTCAAACTCCTGACCTCAAGTGATCCGCCCACCTTGACCTCCCAAAGTGCTAGGATTACAGGCATGAGCCACCGCCTGGCCACCCTGTGTAAACTCTTATCTGGAGACAACTGCCAAGTTTACATTTGCAGAGGTAAGGGAAGGAGAGGCCCTGACCCAGTGGCCCCCGCTCGCCCGCCTGCTGGGGAGATGGGGAGCTCCTAGGACAGGGGCCGGGTCCTCAAGATGTGGCATGAGGAAGGGGGTCTCACTGAGCCCCCAAGCGGCTCCCGCACTGCGCACCCCTGGCTGCGTCCCTCTGCCAGCCTCAACTCAGCCCTCTCCTAGCCGGCGGGGGGTGACAGTCTCTGTGATATCTTTCCGTCCCGCCGGCAGGCGGCGCCCTCCGGCCCTTGTTTCGTTGGGCCCGGACGGGACGTGCGCGCTCAAAGGTTGCCCGTCTCTGACGCCCGCATTTCCTGGTCTGGAGCCGGCTGAGCCACAGCAGGGTCGCCGCGGGGTCCCGGGGCCGTGCTCCCCTGCCCCTCCCGGGAGCGCGCGGGGCGGGGCGGGGCGGGGCGGGACCAGGCGGGCGAGCTGGGCCCTCGCCCCTCCCTCGGGCGGTCACCTGGGCACGGGCGCTGCAGGTGTCGGGGCCTCAACCTTGCGGAGCCGACAGCCATCGATCCTCGGGTGAGTGCGGGCGCAGGTGGAGGGCGCCCGGCGCTCTCGCCACCGGCGTCCCAGCCTCGGGGCGGCGAACGGTCCCCGCGCCGCTCCCAGCCTCCCTGGCCGGGCGTTCAGCGCGCCTGGGAGGGGAAGGAATTTCCTTTGCAGGAACTCAGGGGCTGGGGGTTCTCTGCTACTTAAGAGATCCAGGAGTGGAGCCCGGACGCCCGAGCCTTCCTGCTTCGGGATGGGGATTACCGCGGAGCCTTAGCAACTGGGGTCTGTCGTGGGTTTGAGGGCAGGGGGTCTGGGGAATGGGCGTGTCCCGCACCCAGAGACTCGCCACCCTCTCTCCAGGGGAGATGCTTTTTAAACATGACAAACCCAGCAAGGTTATAGAAATGGGTGTATGCAACTCTTCGCTCTTTCCTGGCGCCCAGAGGTGAATAGTCTCACACACACGCGCGCGCGCGCGCGTGCGTGCATTCATTGGGGCCGACTTTGCCTCCCCTCCCCTGGCCTCGAGCGTTGGGGACGGCGCCCCCGCCCGCGCCCGCCACTGGGATTAAGCCCCAGGGCCTTGCCCGGCTATTTGTTTTCCGAGGCCGTTGCGTCCGGGTAGGTTCCTGGATGACCATCCTGGCTGGCTCAAAATTCCCTCTAGATTACCTGCGACCACCCCCAGGAACCCGGAGACTGAAACTCCTTTTCTCACCTGCGCAGGTGGCCTCGAGGTGGTGGCAGGGCCGCCCCCTGCAGTCCGGAGACGAACGCACGGACCGGGCCTCCGGAGGCAGGTTCGGCTGGAAGGAACCGCTCTCGCTTCGTCCTACACTTGCGCAAATGTCTCCGGTAAGGGGAAGTGTCGCTTAAATCCCAGAGATAACCCCCACCGAGAAGCATCACAAAAGACATGAACGAGTGTTTAGCTCTCAGGATTGTTATTGCTTCGAGTGAAATGGTTTCTTGTGTGCTTTTGTGCATTTATATATAAATATAAACATATATGTATACATTTGACAAGCTCTAAGACCGGCACTTGTGATATCTCCAGAATAGAGTTATTATAGTTATTTGGAAATTGTCAGTGAGGATCAGCTTGGTTGCTATGCGAATTGCAGGGAGGAGGACCTGTGTGCAGTTTCAAAACGATTTAAGAGAAATTCGGTGGCAATACAAGGTGTGGACGTTGGTTGGATCCTGATTTGATGAATGTTTTTTAAAATGGAGATGATGCCCGAGTGCGGTGGCTCACACCTGTAATCCCAGCACTTTGGGAGGCCGAGGTGGGTGGATCACCTGAGGTCAGGGGTTCGAGACCAGCCTGGCCAACATGGTGAAACCCTTCTCTACTAAAAATACAAAAATTAGCTGGGTGTGGTGACACGCGCCTGTAATCCCGGCTACTCGGGAAGGCTGAGGTAGGAGAATCGCTTGAACCCGGGAGGCGGAGGTTGCAGTAAGCCGAGATGGCGCCACTGCACTCCAGCCTGGGAGGCAGAGCGAGACTCCGTCTCAAAATAAATAAATAAATAAGGAGACGATGAAGGACATTTCTACTGATTATTTGATGGTATCAAGGAAATTATAATAGTTCTGTTTAGTTACTTTTGGTAACGGTATCCTGATTAAGGTTTTTAAAATCCCTGTAGAGACACAGACTGAAGTTGAAATACAGCTTTGGGATTTGCTTCAGAATTATTCAGTTTTAGATGCTAGCAGAGAAGGGAGGGGAACAAGATGAGAGGAGATTGTTCATGGATTGTTAATAGTTGAAGCTGGGAAGAACACATGGACACAGGCAGGGGAACTTCAGGCACGGGGGCCTGTCGGAGGGTGGGGGGAAAGGGGAGGGAGAGCACTAGGACAAATACCTAATGCATGCAGGGCTTAAAACCTAGATGACGGGTTGATAGGTGCAGCAAAACACCATGGCACATGTATACCTATTAACAAACCTGCACATTCAGCACCTGTATCCCAGAACTTAAAGTAAAACAAAAATAAAAATAGTTGAAGCTGGATGATGGTTATGGAAGTCCTTATGCTATTGTTTCAGTATTTGTGTGTGTTTGGCATTTTCCTTTAAACAGAACACCACCACTTGTGGAGCTTTTTTGCATAAGGTAGGTTTGGCACTGCAGCCGAGTCTAGATGCAAGGTCTTCCGCAGACGCTCGTTCTTTGTAAATTGGGTGTCAAGGCTGCTTCTCCAGACTCGGTCATAAAAAGTTTTTTTCTCCCTACTGGAGGTGCCGATTTATTTTGCTCAGAAGGCAGAGGGTGTTTGCTGAGTGTGACAAAGCTGAGCGGATCAAGTTGATGCAGGTGGAGGCTAGGTCAGCTTTTTTTACACAAAGGGCATTAGCAAGCCTGGGGGTTGATTGCCTCCGGTCGGGCGGATTGTATAAAACGTGTTAGCAGTTTTTCCTAATTGCCCAAATCCCTTCCAAGTTGTGTTCATCAAAAAACAGAGTTTGCAGTAGTGAACACACGTGTCGGTATGCACTTAGGATTTATGTACACTTCTGAAAGCATTGCATGCCTCAGTAAAAAGTGTATATGATGAAAACAAAGCACAAGATGAGTAGAGGGCTGCTTATTGCTTGAGAGAGAGCTTAGCTGTGTTGTGTTGCCTATTTCATCTTTATCTTGTTTGCTTCAGCGATCATGACATGTAAATATTTAGCAAAGCACTGACTCCTAAAAGTTCTGCATGGTGGTAACACATTTTTTTTAAGAATCATGCTTGAAAGAGGGTAAGGAAGGAGTAATAGCTATATCTTCATCAGGCTTGCTCCAGATTTCTTTTCTCCAGATTTAGCCTATAATTCCTACTCATTCTGTCATGCTTGGTCAGTACTTTGGAATAGTGATTCTGAGAGGGAGCTGTTGAAGTTAGTAGAGGGAGGAAGGGGAGGTATATTTCCAAAAGGTAAATCCACATTTTTTAGTCGCTTCAGTATAACTGAATGTAATGCCTTTTGATTTAAAGATAAAACAAGTCAAAGAGATGAGATCTGGGACAGTTAAAAGTTGAAGTGTTCGGTGAATCTCCCCGGCGTAGACCTTGCTCGTGTAGATTCACTAGTCTAAAGGATGTAAAGATTTTTTTTTTTTTTTTTTTTTGAGACGGAGTCTTGCTCTGTCACCCAGGCTGGAGTGCAGTGGCGTGATCTCGGCTCACTGCAAGCTCCACCTCCCGGGTTCACGCCATTCTCCTGCCTCAGCCTCCCGAGCAGCTGGGACTACAGGCGCCCGCCACCACGCCCGGCTAATTTTTAGTAGAGACGGGGTTTCACCGTGGTCTCCATCTGTTGACCTCGTGATCTGCCCGCCTCAGCCTCCCAAAGTGTTGGGATTACAGGCGTGAGCCATCGCGCCCGGCCGTAAAGATGTTTTAAGATTCGGTTGAGGAATGCTGAAGCATGTCCTAATTTCACTGCTGTGATGGGAAAATAATGAGACAACCAACAAAAATCCCCTTACAGTGGGGGGAGATACCACAGTGAATTCATGATGGTTCTTAAATGAAGTGAAATTGTTTGGTTTGTGGCTCTGTTTTCTTGGTATGAATGAAAGAAGTATGCAACCGTCACGTAACTTTATTTTATACCTCAGTTTCCTCTCTAGTTCCCTAAAAGCATGGAAAGAGAAAAGAAACTTGCCAGGCCCTTTAGTGACCAAACTAATGTTTACTCTCCTCTGTAGGAGAGTGGTAGATTTGGACTCTGGAGAGTTGATTGCTAATAGCCATTTTAAGGACTTACCACAAATGTGACACCATTTCGCCCTGATTCACATTATTAAGGGTATGAACGCATTAGAAAAGCAAATGGCTCCCTTGTTGGGCTAGAAATGATAGGAAAGAGTGTTGGCAATCTAGTCAACAGTATTCTCCTAGATTCATAAACACTTCGCTTTCATCTGCATCACCTCATCCCATCCTGTGAGGCGAAGCAGTGGTGATAGAGGGCAATTTTGGTTTTTAACAGATGGGAACATTGAAATATAAGGAAATCAGCCTGGGCAACATAGTGAGACCTTGACTCCACAAAAAATAAAGATAAATAAATAAAAATTAGCCAGGTATGGTGGTGCACGCCTGTAGTCCCAGCTACTCAGGAGGTTGAGGTGGGAGGATTGCTTGAGCCTGGGAGGTTGAGGCTGCAGTGAGCCGTGATCATACCACTGTACTCCAGCCTGGGTGACAGAGCAAGATACTGCCTCAAAAAAAAAAAAAAAAGAAAGAAAGAAATCTAAAGAAGATTGCTTTAAATCACATCTTTAGGGAGACAGGGAAGGAAATTTAACATTTATCAAGAGTTCATTGGCCAAAGAAAAGAGTTCATGGGCTGGGTGTGGTGGCTCGCATCTGTAATCCCAGCTCTTTGGGAGGCTGAGGGGAGGAAGGTTTGCTTGAGGCCAAGAGTTCAAGACCAGCCTGGGCAACATAGTGAGGCCCCCATCTCTACAAAAAAAAAAAATAAATAAATAATAATAATAATAATAAAATTGGCCAGTGTGGTGGTGGCTGAGGTGGGGAGGGTGGCTTGAGCCCAGCAGTTCTAGGCTGCAGTAAGCTATGTTTGCACCATTGCACACCAGCCTGGACGATAGGGCAAGACTCTCTCTCTTAAAAAAAAAAAAAAAAAAAAAGAATTCATGGTAGTCTTCTGGTAGTCTTCACACACTTTTTTTTTTTTTTTGAGATGGAGTCTCGCTCTGCCACCCAGGCTGGAGTGCAATGGTGCAATCTCAGCTCACTGCAAGCTCTGCCTCCCGGATTCATGCCATTCTCCTGCCTCAGCCTCCCCAGTAGCTGGGACTACAGGTGCCCACCACCACGCCCAGCTAATTTTTTATATTTTTAGTAGAGACGGGGTTTCGCCATGTTAGCCAGGATGGTCTCGATCTACTGACCTCGTGATCTGCCCGCCTCAGCCTCCCAAAGTGCTGGGATTACAGACATTCACACACATTTTTGTTTTTTGTTTTGTTTTGTTTTGAGACAGAGTTTTTGCTTTGTTGCCCAGGCTGGAGTGCAATGGTGTGATCTCAGCTCACTGCAACCTCTGCCTCCTGGGTTCAAGCAGTTCTCCTGCCTCAGCCTTCCACGTAGCTGGGATTACAGGTGCCAGACACCATGCCTGGCTAATTTTTGTATATTTAGTAGAGACAAGGTTTCACCATGTTGGCCAGGCTGGTCTCGGAACTCTCGACCTCAGGTGATCCACCCTCCTCGGCCTCCCAAAATGCTGGGATTAAGGTGTGATCCACCATGCCTGGCCCACACACGTTTTTAATTCTGACAAATGTCTCTAGGTTGGGTATTATCAGTCCATTTTGCAAATGGAAGTTGTAGCTAGAGGTTAATAGTTTTTGCCTGAGGTCTTGCAGCTAGATTCAAACTCAGCTCTGTCAGATTTGACAGTCTGCGTTATTTCTGGCAGTTTCACACTACCTTTAGCAGGAAGCAGAGCAATACGCCCAAGAATTGGGTAGTCTAGGCAAACTATCTTCTTATCACACCCCACTGTCCTGGTGACAGGCGGGGGGCATGGGTCACATCTGACCAACAGATGTTCTGTCGGGCCAGCATAGAGCTTAAAAAAAAACACTGAGTGAGCGTTGAAAATTGGGAAATGTCAAATATTCTGCCCTAACGATTCCCAACGGCAATACTAGAGCAGCTGCCTCTTTAGGGAAGGGTAGTACATCCCAGTCCCCTCAGCCCCCAGCAACCCCTAAAATAGTCCCCAGCCCTGAGATTGTACTTTTTTTTTTTTTTAACGGTAAGAGATCTTTCTATGTATGTGTCTCTACCCCAAATGGAATAACAAAATATAGGTTGAGAGGCTCTTGTTGCAAGAAAAATGGGAAAGACACTTTGGGAGGCCAAGGTGCGGGGATCACCTGAGGTTGGGAGTTCGAAACCAACCTGACCAACATGGAGAAACCTCGTCTCTACTAAAAATACAAAATTAGCCTGGCGTGGTGGTGTATGCCTGTAATCCCAGCTACTTGGGAGACTGAGGCTGGAGAATCACTTGAACTCAGGGGGCGGAGGTTGCGGTGAGCCGAGATCACGCCATTGCACTCCAGCCTGGGGAAGAAGAGCGAAACTCCATCTCAAAAAAAAAAAAAAAGAGAAGAGAAAAATGGGAAAGAGCATATTCCTTTGAGGAAATGAGAGTCTTGTGTTTAGTCTCAGTGCTTCTCTGTCAGACGAATACAAGCCGCGTTGTCATTTTTCTCCCATGCTGCCTATTTTCTCACTTATAAGGAACTTGTTCGCTACCCCCTGCAGTTTGACAAGAATGGAGTAGGTGTGGGCAGGCCTCAGTAGGGAAAAGGAATGGCTCCAAACTCCCACACCATTGGGTCTTTGTGAGTAGGCAGGTGGGTCTTGTGCACCTTGGCGGTTCCCCAGGGTGTCCTGCAGGGATGGGGCACCAAAAAGGCCTTTAACCCTTCCCCTTTAAGCAGGGGACCCATGTGGATCCTGAAGTTGTGCATCAGCTCACTGTAGCTGCTCTGAGCTGGACCCCAGCCACTCTGAGGGGTTCCTAGGACTTGCAAAGGGCCCCTCTCCCCCATCCTTCTCTGCCTACCACTCTCCTGCTGATGACAAGTCCACTTCTATACACTGCTTAGGCACAGCCCCCCAAGAAAGCTCTGCAGGGATGAGGAGCTGAGGCACCCGCATAGTCCAGCCTTAAGGGGTTTCTGTGATGCAAGTCCAAGGGTGGCTTAATTTCCTTGCCTTGAAACTTTCGGTTAAGGGTCACGGGGCAAACATTCTCGCTTCTGTGAATAGCTGGAGTTTCATGACAGTTGAAGTTTCTCTTTAGATCTTTGTTTCCTTCCCCTGAGTTCTGCATTTTCTTCCCATGTACGTGTGCCGTGGAGGAGAATGAAAAGAGGAAATGGCACAAAAGTGAACCTTGTTGGGTGGCTTTCAGGAAATGTCAGGTGCTGTTGTGGGCCTTTGTCACTCGAGTTGTCAGTCTAGGTGTGTGTGTAAACGGACATGGAATAAACAAGGGCTCCAAGTGGAACAGCTTGTTTTGGCCAAAAGAAGTGAGTTCAGGCCGAGCATGGTGGCTCACACCTGTAATCCCAGCACTTTGGGAGGCCGAGGTGGGTGGATAGTGAGGTCAGGAAATCGAGACCATCCTGGCTAACACGGTGAAACCCTGTCTCTACTAAAAATACAAAAAAAAAAAAAAAAAAAAAAAAAAAAAAAAAAAAAAACCAATTAGCCAGGGGTGGTGGCACTCGCCTGTAGTCCCAGCTACTCGGGAGGAGACTCGCTTGAACCAGGAGGTGGAGGTTGCAGTGAGCCGAGATCACGCCACTGCACTCTAGCCTGGGCGACAGAGCAAGATTCTGTCTCAAAAAAAATAAAAAATAAAAAAAGAAAGAAAAAAAAAGAAGTGAGTTCAGAGGCTGACATGTTTTGTGAATGCCAGACCAGCGGCTTGATGGGATCCTTTCTGGAGAACTCTGCGATTCAGGTTTGTGGCTGTGTGCTCCCTCAGGTGATGATTAACCCCCTTGTCAAGGAAGAGTGGGTTAATTGGTTATTAGCCAGAGCAAACAGGGAGAGGCCAAGCAGTCTTGAGTATGGACTCAGCCAGATCCCTGGGTTTCATTTCTGGTTCTTCCACCACCTGTGTGACCTTGACTCATTTTTTAAAACCTCTTTGTACCTCAGTTTCCCCTATGTAAGCTAGAAGTAATAATAATACCTACATCATAGGGCGGTGAGGATTCAGTGGCACGTCAAGTGCTTGTAACAGTGCCTGGCATGGAGTAGGATGGATTGTGAGTTAGCTATTATTATTGTTGTTGTTAGAGCCCTGCTTCCTTTACTTTCACTTTTACTGGGGAGAATTTCCCCCACATAATGTTAGAAGAAAGACCACAGGGAAGAAATGCATCTGAGCTCTGACCTCTGTTCGTGGAGTGAGCCATGGGCTGCCCATCTGGGTTCCCACATGGCCTTAGGGAAATGTTCTCCATGACAAATGCTAACAGGGTGTTTGGTGCAGCAGCAGCTTTGGAATTGATGAGAACTGGGCCACAACTTGTGACTTTGAGCCAGGGCTTTGGCTTTGTTGTTCGGGGATTAAAATCTCCACTGACTGTGGAAAGGAGTTGGAATCCCCTAGCATTCATGTGGATACAAACTCCAACCCCTTATGAGAGAGCGGGCTAGTGTTAGCTGGGACACAGGAGTCCCAGCCTCAGCTATGCCACCGCCTGGCAGGGGTTTAAGGCCAGGTCTTCTGGGCAGCCAGTGCCTCTTCTGTCACCTGGGGATAAGCATATCTAATAGGAATGTTGTGAGGGGCTAACAACATTTTATGAAATCCTGACACAGACACAGCAAAGTACAATGCCTGACTTGCCCCTTAGTAGTAAAATCATAGAACAGATACATTGAGAGGCTTACTTTTTAACTTGGAAAAGTAATATAGATGCTGTTAACTAATGTTTATTTAATATTTTATAGTTCCTAAAAGGGCTATCTGGTTTGATCTTTAAACTAGCAATGCAGGTTTCTGTTTGTTTACATTTGTTTCGATTGCCTTTGGCTGCCTGTTTCAGGAGAGGAGGTACAGAAGTGAACCCAGGTTCAGGCCAGAAATGAGAACATGGAATGGCCTTCATTTTACTGTATCAGAGAGGTAACATGAGTTCTTATTCTTTATGCCCTTAAGTAATTCTGAGGAGGAAGCACTTTAGAGATTGATAGCTAAGGTGTTGCTGGGAAGCTGAAAGCATCCATGGTGTCCAGGGAAGCTGAATGGAGGGCCAGTGATTCCCCTCCAAGCAGCAGGGCAGAGGTCTCCCCTGTCGACAGCCCTTGCCTGGTCCCCTTCAGCAGGGGGCAGTGGGAGGAAGAGAGGCAGTAGGCTTTGGATTCTCCCTCCTGCCCCAGGTGCAGACCCAAAGCTTCAGAGTCCATCCTACCTTCACCTAACCCTTCGTCCTTCTCCTGCACTCCAGCCAGGTGTTTCAGTGTGTAGTCTGTACCTGCCACACCCTCACCGCATCCCCCCAAGCCTGCACTGTCCTGTTCACCGCAAGGTTTTCTCTTCTTCCTATGGCCTCAGCTACTTTCCATTGCTGCCCTTGCCTCCTGATCCTGCCTGCCTTCAACTTTACTGTATTCTGAAAGGTTTAAAGGGAAAAGTCTTTTATGACCCACAATCCAAGGATCTGAAGGCATTGACATTTGGGTATATTTCCTTTTTATTTTGTTTTACTTTGTTTTTTTATAAATTTAAAAAATTTTAACATTTTATAAACAATTCATTTTATGTTAGAATTTTAACATAGTTGCTATACTTTGATTAAAATTTATCATTATGACGATATCAAAAAGACACCTGCATGCATATGTTTATCATAGCACAATTCACAATTGCAAAGATATGGAATCAACCTAAGTGTCCATCAACCAATGAGTGGATAAAGAATATGTGATATATGTATATACACATCACATATACACATACATATATACACATCACATATACACATACACAACACACCATGGAATACTGCTCAGCTATAAAAAGAACAAAATAATGTCTTTTGCAGCAACTTGGATGGAACTGAAGGACATTATTCTTTTTTTTTTTTTTTTTTTTGAGATGAAGTCTTGCTCAGTCACCCAAGCTGGAATGCAGTGGCCCAATGTCGGCTCACTGCAACCTCCACCTCCCAGGTTCAAGCGATTCTCCCACCTCAGCCTCCCGAGTAGCTGGGATTGCAGGCATCAGCCATCATGTCCAGGTAATTTTTGTAGCGACAGGGTTTCACCACGTTGGCCAGGCTGGTCTCGAACTCCTGACCTCAGGTGATCCACCCGCCTTGGCCTCCCAAAGTGCTGGGATTACAGGCGTGAGCCACCATGCCCATGAAGGCCATTATTCTAAGTGAAGTAACTCAGGAATCGAAAACGAAATGCCATATGTTCTCACTTGTAAGTAAGTGGAAGCTAAGCTATGGGTACACAGAGGCATGCAGAGTGATATAATGGACTATGGAGACTCAGAAGGGCAGGATGGGAAGGGGATGAGGGATGAAAAACAACCTATTAGGTACAATGTACACTACCTGGGTGATGAGTACTCTAAAATCCTAGACTTTACCACTGTACAGTTCATCTATGTAACCAAAACCCACTTGTACACCTAAAGCTATTAAAAAATTTTTTTTAAATAAAAAATCATTGTATTCCCCTATGTCTTTATAAATGTTTTTAATGACTGCATGCTATTTTAGGCTTTTTTAGCCATTCTTTTAAAATATTAGAGAACTAAGTTGTTGCTCATTTTTTGATGTTGTACATCATTCCAATTTGAATGCACATAAACCTTGGATCCCATTTCACATTATTTGAGATGGATTCCTGTAAAAATAAGTACTGAGTCAAAGGTTTTCAACATTGGAAAGTTTTCTTTCTTATCACAAAAGCAACAGATTTGTATTGTGGAAGATACAGGACAGTGTAAAAAGTAAACATGTACCTCTATTCTCACCAACCAGTTGCTGTTTGTGTCGCCGGGTTCTCCCCCTCCAGGACAAATGTCCTCTTCAGGCTTGCTCCATGCGTGGCCTGTCGGCTGGCAGCATGGCATCACCTGGGAGCTTGTTAGAAATGCAAAAGCTCAGGCCTGCCCCAGACATTGAATCAGAATCTGTCTTTTAACAAGATCTATATTCAAGTTTCGGAAGTCTTAGTCCCTGAGGCCACCACCTTACCAGTCACGGTGGGCTGGCATTAATTACCTCTGATCTGTGAATATACGTACATTTTTCCTATTTCCCTGATACTGGGATGTACCACTGTGTCTACCACTGGTTTGCACCCTCCTGTCTCCCTTAACGTAAGACCGTGTAAGGACAAGAGCAGGCTCCCCTCAGTAACACCGGTTCAGGGATCAGCAGGATCTCATCTCATCCCCCTATGAGAAGCCCTGCTACACACAGCTTTATCTTGTATCTGTCATTTAACATTATATTGTCAGCATTTTCCTGTTATTTAGTTTTTCTCTCAAGTTTATCTTTCATGGCTGCAGGTGGTAATCCATCTTATGACTGTCTGATAATTCATTTGACTCATTCCCTATTGTTAGACATTAAGTTGTTTTGATTCTTTTGGGGACTGGGGAGGGTATACTGTGGGCTATTATAAGTATGCCAAAGTGAACTGCTTCCGCAGTAATTATTTCCCTCAACCCAGATTATTTCCTTATGACAAGTTACCAGAGTGCAGACACTGGGTCAAAAGGCATGAACGTTTTAAACCCTCCTTAAAATGCCGCAGGAGTATACAAAGTGCCCTGACATGGTGCCCTCCCAGACACTGGGTAGTGTGGTCTGTAGACAGACTCCAGGGAGCAGGGTCATGCCTCATTCGCATCACGCCTCCAGGGCTGGTGTAGAGCCAACTCTGAGGGTCACTCTAAGGGGACCTGGGGGAATGGAAAGGAAGTGACGGAAGGATGGGCAAGCTGCCTGTGGTGGTGGTGCTCCTTTCCTCCTGGCCTGAGTCCTGAGTCACAGTAGATGTCACTGACCAGGCAGCAGCCTTCCTCAGGGTGTGTCCACAAAGTTTAGCCTTTCCTCCCGGCACCCGTCTTCCAGTGGCTTGGGAGCTGGAGCAGGTGGTGGAGGCCTGAAATGACTACTTGGTGAGTCTGGAATGTGCCGGACCTGATTGCTGCCAAGCTTGTTTTTGCTTCACGAGTCTGAGACTGTTGGGTTCTCTAATACTTTTTTCCTCTCACCAGCAGACCAGGAACCTGATATTAAGTAAACTTTATTCTAAAAGGTACACTCAGACAATTCCTTTTTTTTTTTTTTGACACTGAGTTTCACTCTTGTTGACCAGGCTGGAGTGCAATGGTGCGTTCTCGGCTCACTGCAACCTCCACCTCCCAGGTTTAAGTGATTCTCCTGCCTCAGCCTCTCGAGTAGCTGGGATTACAGGTGCCTGCCACCATGCCCGCCTAATTTACTTCTTCTTCTTTTTTTTTTTGTTGTTGTTGAGATGGAGTTTCGCTCTTGTTGCCCAGGCTGGAGTGCACTGGTGCGATCTCAGCTCACTGCAACCTCCACCTCCCAGGTTCAAGTGATTCTCCTGCCTTGGCCTCCCGGGTAGCTGGGATTACAGGCACCTGCCACCATGCTTAGCTAATTTTTTTTTTTTTTTGAGACGGAGTTTTGCTCTTGTTGTCCAGGCTGGAGTACAATGGTGCAATCTGCTCACCATAACCTCCACCTGCCAGGTTCAAGTAATTCTCCTGCCTCAGCCTCCCAAGCAGCTGGGATTACAGGCATGCACCACCACGCCCACCTAATTTTTTTGTTGGTCAGGCTGGTCTCTCTGCCAGTATACAATCAGTTCCCACCTGTAGCCCCAGATAGCCATTGAACTTCTTTCTGTCTCTTGCCTTGTCTGGGAAATTTCAAATAAGAGGAATCTTGGGATATGTAGTTTTATGTGTCAGGCATCTCTCACTTAGCACAACATTTTTGAGGTTCATCCATGTTGCAGCATGTATCAGTAGTTTGTTCCTTTGTATTGCTGAGTAGCATACAGTTTTATAAATGTACTGCATTTTATTTATCCACTCACCAGTTGATGAACATTTGAATTGTTCCCAGGGCTTGGCTATTATGAATAATGTTGCTATAAACGAGGTAATGTTGCTATCTACAAGTGTTAGTATGGACCTTATTTGTATTTCTCTTGAGTAGATTTGTAGGGGTATAATTGCGGAGTCATGTGGTAAGTTTATGTTTAACTTTTTAAGAAACTGCCAAACTATTTTCCAAAAGCGGCTGTGCAATGTTAGAGTCCCACTAACAGTGTATGAGGATTCTCTACATTCTTGCCAACATTTGAAATTGTTAGTCGTTCTTATTATAGATATTCCAAAGGGTATATAATGGTGTCTCATTGGCAGTTTTAATTTGCATTTCCCTAATGACTAATGCTGTTGAGTTCCTTTTCATGTGCTTATTAGTTACTTATATGTCTTCTTTTTTATTGGATATTTGATCTATATTGATATCAATATAGATCTATATCATCTTTGATGACACGTCTAGTTACATCTTTTGCCCCATTTTAAAACTGGATTATTTCTCACCATCCTCTTATTGAGGTTCAAGAATTTTAAGGTATATATCTGGATGCAAATTCTTTATCAAATATATGGTTTGGGGCTGGGTGCAGTGGCTCACACCTGTAATCTCAGCACTTTGGGAGGCCAAGGCCAGCAGATCACCTGAGATCAGGAGTTCAAGATCAGCCTGGCCAACATGGCGAAACCCCGCCTCTACTAAAAATACAAAAATTAGCTGGGCGCGGTGGCATGCGCCTGTAATCCCAGCTACTCAGGAGGCTGAGGCACAAGAATTACTTGAACCTGGGAGGCGGAGGTTGCAGTGACCCAGGATCGTACCACTGCACTCCAGCTTGGGAGAGAGAACGAAACTCTGTCTCAAAAAATAAAAAAATAAAAAACAAATAAATAGTTTGAAAATATTTTCCCCAGACCCATGACTTTTTCCCTAATGGTGCCTTTTAAAGAAAAAAAAAGTTTTAAATTTTGATGAAGCCTAAGTTGTTGATTTCTTTTATGGTTTGTGTTTTTAATCTTATATCTAATAAGTACTTGCTGAACCTTATACAAGTCTTGTGGACATGTTTTGTTATGTTTTTGAGATGGAGTCTCACTCTGTCACCCAGGCTGGAGTGCAGTGGCGCATTCTCGGCTCACTGCAACCTCCACCTCCCAGGCTCCAGTGATTCCCCTGCCTCAGCCTCCTAAGTAGCTGGGATTACAGGTGCACGCCACCATGCTCAGCTAATTTTTGTATTTTTAGGAGAGACGTGGTTTCACCATGTCGACCAGGTTGATCTCGAACTCCTGACCTCAAGTGATCCGCCCACCTTGGCCTTCCAAAGTACTGGGATTATAGGCGTGAGCCTCTGCACTTGGCCGACCTGTTTTAATTACTCCTAGGTAAATATCTAGTAGTAGAAGTACTGGATCATAGGATAAGCCTATGTTGAAATGCCACACTATTTTCCAAGGGGATACACCATTTTACACCTCAAACAGCAGCGTATAGGAGTTCTCGTTACTCTACATCTTTTCCAATATTTGGTATTGTTGGTCTTTCTGATTTTAGTCATTCTGATGGATGTGAAATTGTATGTCATTGTCATTTTAATTAGCTTTATCCTGATAACTAATGATGTTGAGTACCTTTTTGTTTGCTATTGGCCATTTGTACATATTCTTTTTGGAGTGTCTTTTTAAGTATTTTGCCCATTTTTGTTTGAGTAGTTTGACTTTTTGTTATTCATTTGTAGGCACTCTTTATATATGTGGTCTGGTAGTCTGGGCACAAGTCTTTTGTTAGATAGATGTGTTGTAAGCATTTTCTCCCAGTCTGTAATTGCCTTTTCATTTTCTTATGATGAACAGAAGAATCTAATTTTAATGAGTTCACTTTATCAATTTTTTTTCTATTTGGTGCTTTTTGTGTTTTGCTTGAGAATTCTTTACTCTAAGGTTGCAAACATATTCTCCTTTGTTTTCCTTGTAGAGTCTTACCTTTTATAGCTATGCTTGTGATCTCTCCTGAGTTAATTTCTGTTAATGGTGTGAAGTGGAGTTAAGGTCCTTTTTTTTTCATACGGTTATCCAGTTAGTCCAGCACAGTGTGTTGAAAAGACTTTCCTTTCCTCCATTGAATTGCATTGGTACTTTCTTATAAATCAAGTGGACTGGTTTGAACTCTTAAGCTCATTGTCTTGAGTTCTATAATTTATAAGTCTTGAAATCAGGTAGTGTAAGTCGTCCAACTTTGTTATTGGCTATTCTAACCCTTTGTATTTTCATATATATTTTAGCATCAGCTTGTGAATATCTTTAAAAAAGAAAAAGGCCTGGTTGGATTTTGATCAGAACTACATTGAATCAACTAATCTGGGGAGGATTGACATGTTAATAATATTAATCTTCTTATCCATGAACATGGCATATCTCTGTTAAGGTCTTTAGGTTTTTTTGGCAGTGTTTTGTAGCTTTTAGCATTGACATTTTATAAATATTTATACAAATTTATTCTTATTTTATGTTTTTGAGTCTATTGGAAATGATATATTTTCCTTCATTTTTGAATTTTGTTGCTATATATAGCAATGTGGTTTTAAAAATTGACCTGTGATCTTAACTAAATTCATTTATTAATTCCAGTAGATTTTTTGTAAGTACCTTAGGATTATCAATATACATAAATGCCATCTACAAATAGTTTTATCTTATCCTTTCTAGTCTGTATGCCTTTCTTTTATTTTCTCGCCTTACTGAATGGGCTAGGATATCCTAAAATGTTGAGTAGATGTAGTAAGGACAGATATCCTTACCTTGTTTCCAATTTTAGGGGTAAAGTGGTCAGTCTTTCACACTTAAGTATAATGATAGCTATAGATTTTTCATAGATGTTCCTTATCAGGTTGAGGAAACCATCAGTTTCCTACTTTGCTGAGAGGTTTTTATCATGAATGGTTGTTGAATTTTTTCCAAAGATTTTTCTGCATCTCTCAAGATGGTCATATGCTTGTTTTCTGTATTCAGTAATGTGAATATATTTATTTTTCATCTGTTGGCACTTTCTCTTCACCTCAAATTAGGGAAAAGACCACAGTTACCCATTTTGGTTTTTTGTTTTTTTTTTTAATTACTCAGCTTTAACACTTGAATATCTTGGCATTTGTGCATGGAATATTAGTTCAGGAACATGATTTAGACAATTTGAATCAGACAATTTCCATAAAATATTTTATAAACTAAAAAGCAGCGTTTGTGTGTGTGTGTGTGTATGTGTGTGTAGAGTTATTTGGCTTGAGAGCCCTGCCTGCCCAACAAACTTATCTTAAACTCTCATCATTATTAGTCTCATGCTTAAAAAAAAAAAAGTATCATTTAAGTGAAGACTTCAGGCAGTTGAGGGAGCAAGCTACATGAGTATAAGAAAGAAGACCATCCCAGGCAGAATGGTCTTCTGAAGCACAAGTTCAAAGGCCCTGAGGTCCCAGAGGTATCCAGAAAACTGTCTCTTCAAAATTGCTTTTGCCTGACATTGAAGCAGACAGCAGGGGCTAAGAAAACATCACCACCTTCTGGCAGAATAGAAGGACTGAGCTGCTCAGGTCAAATCATTATAGTAAAATATACCTAAAATTTACCATCTTAACCATTTTTAAGTGTACAGGTCAATGGCACTAAGTACATTCACATTGTTGAGCAACTGATACTGCTATCTACGCATCTTCAGAACTTTTTCATCCTGTGCTGAAAACCTGCACCCATTAAACAGTAACTCCTCATTCTTCCCTTCTCCTAGCTCCTGGCTACTGTTTACTTTTTGTCTATGAATTTGATTATTCTAGGTACCTCATATATATGGGATCATATGATATTTGTCATCTTCTGTCTGCTTATTCACTTAGTGTAATGTCTTACGGGTTCTTCCACCTTCAGCATGTATCAGAATTTCTTTTCTTTTTTTTTTTTTTGAGACGAAGTCTTGCTCTGTCACCCGGGGTGGAATGCAGTGGCCCGATCTTGGCTCACTGCAACCTCTGCCTCCCAAATTCAAGTGATTCTCCTGCCTCAGCCTCCCTAGTAGCTGGGATTACCGCCATCTGCTACCATGCCCAGCTACTTTTTGTATTTTTAGTAGAGACAGGGTTTCACCATGTTGGCCAGGCTGGTCTCGAACTCCTGACCACAGGTGACCCATCTGCCTTGGCCTCCCAAAGTATTGGGATTATAGGCATAAGCCACCGTGCCCGGCCAGGATTTCATTTCCTTTTAAGACTGAATAATATTCTACTGTATGGATATAAAGTCGTTCTTAGGAGATGTGTATGTTATATTTCTGAATCCTGAGAATGGAAACAAAACAGGTAGAATGGTAGTGGGGCAAGCTGGCGTAGGTCTGGGATACTGTTACCAAAGACTTATAGGAGAACTGGACCCCGGCTGATTGGGTCCTGACATCACACCTGACAATGTGATGGTGAAAAAAGGATCTCCCTTAGGTGGTTGTTCTGGTTCAGTTTCTCAGCAATGATGAATAACCGTGGTTTCAGAAACCATGAACAACTAAGCATGAAGAATGTCATAACCTCTCTGGTGGTTGAGTCATACAAGGAGCCACATTCAGAAGCCCGGGATGGAGAGTGGGGTCTCAGGGACTATTGAGCACAGATTTCTGATTGCTACTTTCCAGATCATTGTATGCTTAGGCCGTTTATTTTGATGAAGAAAGCAAGACTAAAGGACATGATAATCATTGAGAACCAGGAGGCAATCTCTAGTTCAGATGTTCTTTTAAAAACTTTTTTTTTTTTTGAGACGGAGTCTCGCTCTGTCCCCCAGGCTGGAGTGCAGTGGCGCGATCCCGGCTCACTGTAAGCTCCGCCTCCCGGGTTCACGCCATTCTCCTGCCTCAGCCTCCTGAGTAGCTGGGACTGCAGGTGTCTGCCACAACGCCTGTCTAATTTTTTGTATTTTTAGTAGAGGCGGGGTTTCACCGTGTTAGCCAGGATGGTCTCGATCTCCTCACTTCGTGATCCGCCCATCTCGGCCTCCCAAAGTGCTGGGATTACAGGCGTGAGCCACTGCGCCCGGCCTTAAAAACTCTTTTTAAACCTCTTCTGTGAGCATGTTTGCTAAGCGGTCAGCCCATAAGTATCTGAACAACTGTTCTTATAATCCTTTGTTGCTCTTATTAATCCCATTCCTATATTGTTGATTTTTTTTAAGATATATTTTCTATTTGTTGATGTTGTTCTTAAAACTCAGTACCTGAATGACTAGTACAAGGTATGCAACTCCTTTCTCTTTAATTCTGAACCTTATACTTGTATTACTTATCTGTTCCCACCAAAATGATGACGAGGTGAATATATGTGTAGAATTTGCAGTCAATAAAATACAGTCACATTGTAAGGGAAGTTTATGTGAAAATATACATCACCAGAATACTAATTTACAAGCAAACATAAGGCATTGAGTAAAAATTCATGGTAGCTTTATAGAAAAATGAATTGTGTCAGTGTAACCTGATTTGTTTTCAAGAACATTTTACGGATCTGGAGGAAGCAGGGGACATAATCTTAACTTTCTCATGCTATTGATTTCATTATGAATGACATAATCAATAACAGCCCGGGGAAACAGGTTAGCTCACATGATACCACAGTTAGACGGTGGGAAGGTAACACAGAGACATTATCAAGGATATGGTTCCAGTGTGGGATAAGTCATCATTTAACCTTTTAGAGGTCAGTCTGGGAACCATTCTGTTTAATCAGTTTTAATCCATAACTGGTGGCATATTAGTGTATATGTTTGTATGCGAGAAATACTAGAAACAGAAGTCAAAATAACCTGCATTAATGGGGTACCGTATTTATAAAATACTGGACAGAATCACGTGAAGGCTAATTAATTTTGTAAGTAAGAGGTTCAAATTGGAGAATGATTGGCACTGTGCCTATTTTTGGCAGAAAAAGCCTATGGGCCATGGTGAATCACAAGGTAGTTGAACCATCACAGTAACTATAATGTGGGTATATGCAGAATACCACATTTCATACATCAGTGCTCTAGTTAATACTTGTATGAGACTGAAAGTAGGCAAATGATACAGTGAAGTCATTTCATAACTGGCAATACCAAGACTTCTCAGAACTATGTTTAGCTTGAGTGCATACTATGTAAAGAGGGTCTTACAAAATGTATACCGGAGCCACAGGAGAGCAAAACAATTATTTAAGTGATGACATCTGGTCAAGATGGCACAGGAGTTCAGGCTCCAAACACCTAGCAAAGGTAGTTATAATATAAAAAGGGTAACCAAATAAGTATAGTTGGGCTATAGTCATTCTAGTTACCTAGAATGTAAGTTGAAATACAAAGGGGTAAGCAGGCTCAAGCTGCAGGCCTCTCCAGCAGGGGCAACCAGAAACTCAGGTTTTTTAGAATAAGGGGATATAGCTTTGTGCAGTGGCCATTTCATAGCCAGTGAAGTTTATCTGAGGCACTTGCTAATTGAAAACTTTTCTCAATACCCTGCCATGATGAAATATGGTTGGCACTGGCAATTTTTGAGACTCTATGGAGACTGAACTTAACATTAAAAACAAATTAAAAAATGAAAAGATAGGGATGTAAAAGTATCCACATGAGCTGATACCAAGGAGTTGGAGCCAGGCTCCAGGGAATGTAAATTGGGAGAATAACTAAGTTTCTTCCATACCTCTAAGAAACATTGGCAACACTGAAATCAGAGACTGCAGTGCCCTCCCTCCCAAACCTAAGAAGGAAGGCTGGAAAAGATGGCTTACCTGGAAGGAATGGGCTTCTGGAAGTTTCAGAGACAAAGACACAGCTTCAGAACCAGAAGCTGAGCCATGCTGCTTTCTTGGCCCAGGGCCTGGATCCGCAGTATCGCTGATACCACAACTGAGCAGGAACACCAAGTGGCATTTTGAGACCTGGTTTGGAAGAAGTCCTGAGAGGCCAGGTGGAGGGACTGAAAGCTGCCTGGGAAGGGAGAGAGGAGGGAAAGATACAGCAATCGAAAACTCCTACTGAAAGTAAGCTTGCAAAGCAAAACTTTAAAATACATGAAGACATAGATATGGAGTTCAAAATTTGTTCAAGCAAGACACGAATTTACTAAAAGTGAAATTAGCAGTTGGAATTCCTGGAAATGACAATAAAGTAAGTATGTTTAGAATTCTTACGATGAATGAAGTCTTGCAGTAGATAAAAATTATGAAGTAGAAGCAAGGGGGAGGGATAGGAAAAAGAACCAGTTAGAACAGTTTTGTATTAAGTCAAGTGGGCTAAAATGCTTTAAAAAGACCAAAAATGCAATGGATCAAATCCAGTACGAGCTTACTTCTCTCGTGTAGCAGGCCTGGGTGGGTATTTCAGGCCACTGGGTGGCTGTACCCTCAGGGACCCAGCTGACGGCACCCATATGGGTTTCAGAATTGCCCTGCTTTCCCACAGGAAGTGGGTGGGTGGGGAATAAGCTAGGCCAGAAATGGTCTTCCTCATGTCTGCTCACGCCCCACCGGCCATACCTAACTTCTGGGGAGCCTGGGAAACAGGTCAGCCACGTGCCTGGGAAAAAGAAGGGAAGATAAAATGGAGAATAAGTTTCTGCCATACCTCTAAGAAACAGTGGTTACATTGACAACAGATTTCTCATCAGCAATAGAATTGAAAACACAAGAGAGTATTATCTTCAACTTAGAATTCAATACTAGTTAAACCGTCATTCAAAAATGATGATCAGCAGTCCCTATGAAGGAAAAATTGGCAATATCTAACAAAATTATGTAAGCATTCACCCTTTGACCTAATGGCCTCACTTCTAGTAATTATTCCAGAGGAAACACCTCCACAAAATAGCAAAGAATATGTACAGAAGGTTGTTCATCGCTACATTATTTGCAGATAGAACAAATTTGGAAACAACCTTTATGTCCACTCATAGAACTCTGGCTGAATAAGCTATAGTATATCTACATAATGCAGCCATAAAAACAATTTTTAAAAAATTAAAAAGGAAGATAGCTATTAACAAAGATGAAATGCTTTCTAGGATGTTTTAAGGGGCAATAAAGAGTCACAAAAAGTATATCTAATGTGCTACCTTGTATTTAAGATGGAAAGGGAAATAACCACACATGTACACACACACATGCACAAACACACACACACACACACACACACACACACTTATTTTTGCAGAAAGATGCACAGGAACTATAAACCAGAAATAAATGATAGGGGGTGGGTGGATATTAGTGGAGGAAATAAGTATGGAAATGAGACTTTTCTGAGCGTACCTTTTTATATAGTTTTGATTTTGAGCCATGTAAATATTTTACATATTCAATTATATAAAATTAAAATGAACTAAAAATAATGAAAACAAAGGAAATCCTGTCATTGAATATACAAAGAGAAACTAATAATCAAAACACTATATCAAATTGATTACATAAATACAAAGAAGAGAATTCAGATAACTTTATAACAGAGTACTCAGACTGTATAAGCTTAGTGGAATATAGTCAAGGGACAAAAAGAATGGAAAAAATTAGGCTTTATTTACCTGGTTAATTGTTGGGCAATGCTATCAGTGTAGTAACTCTGAAACTGCTTAATATGTATTGTAGTTTGAACAAATGAATCAATATACTAATGTCATTGGGAACCAGGTTCTTTTTTGTTGTTAATTTCTTCATTGAAATTCTGTATTCAATCACAGGAGTTGGAGTCTGCTTCCTGCTGGGACCCTTCCTGATCCTTTAAGTTAATCTCTAATTTGCTATTAGTGTGGCTTCCTGCCCTTTTTTTTCTTCAGCTTTTAAGTTCAGGGGTACATGTGCAGGATGGGGAGGTTTGTTACACAGGGAAACGGGTGCCATGGTGGTTTGCTGTACAGATTATCCCATCACCTAGGCATTAAGCCCAGCATCCATTAGCTGTTTTTCCTGATGCTTTTCTTCCCCCCACTCCCCCCTCTAGCAGGCCCAAGTGTGTGGTGTTTCCCACCATGTGTCCACGTGGGAACCAGATTCTTGCTGTGGGAGATGATCTTTCAAGTATGTATTTCACTATTTCACAAATACTGAAATAAGGTGAGGAAGACTCCTGAGATGGTAGCTTTGCATTGGAGGTATCAGTGTGCCACCCAGATTCTAGTTTTAAAATACCATATTTTCCTAAAAAAAACAGGGCTCCTTGAAAAAAAATGACCAGAAGTACAACGTGCCAAAGCGGGCATGTGCTCAGCAACTGGGATGGCAAAAGATACATATGGGAGCCAGCCTGAAGGAACCCTGACAAGATGATTTGGAAAATTTTAAGCATTCAAAAGAAGAATGATGGCAGTGAATTATAACACATTTAATAAAAATAAATCAATGAATCTATAATGTATTTCCAGAAACAACTGCCAGCTCATGAAAGCAGAATGAATCTTAGAATTAGAAAATTACTATTTTACAACTCCCAGTGTGGTGATTAATTCAGGCAAGGATAATAAACGGATGCTAAAACTATCAGGTGAAACTTTGTTATGCAACGGATTGGTCTAACAGTCTCAAAGTATTAATTACAAAGGGAAAAGGTCCTCTACAACAGTAAAATGGACGAGGCGAGGTGGCTCATGCCTATAATCCCACCACTTTGGGAGGCCTAGGAGGGATAATTGCTTGAGGCTAGGAGTTCAAGACCAGCCTGGGCAACAGCAAGACCCCATCTCTACAAAACAGTATTTTAAAAAAAAATTAACTGGGCATGGTGGTGCACACCTCTATAGTCCTAGCTACTCAGGAGGCTGCGGTGGGAAGATCACTTGAGCCCAGGAGTTCTAGGTTACAGTGAGCTATGACTGTACTACTGCACTCCAGCTTCAGCAACACAGTGAGACCCTGTCTCAAAATAATACTAATAATAAAAAGAAAAAGAAATATGGCAAACACCTCCTTAATCAAGTGACCTAACATCACATGACCAGTAATGAGACATGACATAATGGGATATATCATCTAGATAGTTTTCTTGCCAGAAATGTTTAATATTGAGAAAACAATTAGACAAATCGAGATTATGTGATATTTTACAAGATAACTGACCTGGACTCTTCAAAAATGTCAGTATTGCCGGGCACGGTGGCTCACACCTGTAATCCCAGCACTTTGGGAGGCCCAGGAGGGTGGATTGCTTGAAGTCAGGAGTTCAAGACCAGCCTGACCAACATGGTGAAACCACATCTCTACTAATAATACAAAAATTAGCCAGGCGTGGTGGCAGGCACCTGTAATCCCAGCTACTCGGGAGGCTGAGGCAGGAGAATCGCTTGAACCTGGGAGGCAGAGGTTGCAGTGAGCCGATATGGCGCCACTGCACTCCAGCCTGGGTGACAGAGTGAGACTCTGTCTCAAAAAAAAAAAAAAGAAAGATAAAAAACAACAACAACAACAAATTATCCAAAATTAAAAGAGACTAACAAGACATGACAAATATGTGATCCTTGATTGGATTTTGTATTAAAAAAAACTCTAACAACATTGGGACAGTTTTAATATGGACTATGTATTAGATACTATACCATTTAATTTAATTTCATTAAATTAATATTTATGGGACAGTTTTAATTAATGGGACAGTTTTAATATGGACTATGTATTAAATACTATATAATTTGATTTCATAGATAAAATGATGGTATCATAGTTATGAAAATGGCTATCCGATTATAAGATAAATCATCATAGGAAAAATGGGAAAATATCGAGATAAAATGAAGTCTTATAAGACCACACTAAGATAACCATCATTAACACTTTGGTATATTTCCATCTCATCTACATATATTTAAACAAAATTGAATTGTACTCTACATGGTTTTTTATGTTCCTTCTGCTTGTTCCATATTATAATTATTGGCAAGTCTCCATTAAATAGTCCTCAAAGATATTCTTTTAAATGGTTATATACTATCTCTGTACATTTTCTTATTTTTAAATTTCAAGGCCATGCGCAGTGGCTCCTGCCTGGAATCCCAGCACTTTGGGAGGCGGAGGTGGGAGCATCGCTTGAGGCCGGCAGTTTGAGACCAGCCTGGGCAACATAGGGAGACCCCATCTCTATGATTTTAAAATAAATAAATAAAAATTAAATTCCAAGTTTTTTTATTTTATAAGGTCTATTTTACAATATTTTATTCAATCAACATGCCATCCATTGTAAGACATCATTATTTTATGTGTCACTAAAAAGAAAATTTTCCTGAGGTGGGTGTGTCGGGCCCTACTGGGCCTAGCGGCAGGAGGGGGACATCGGCTCCCACCACAGCCCTCCAAACAGCTCTGCGCTCTGAGCGCCCCCTCCCCAGGGTCCCCCTCTCCAGGCAGGAAGATGTCCAAGTCCCGTGCGGCGGAGGCAGCAGCGGGGGTGACAGCGACGGCCCCGAGCCCGCAGATAGTGGAGCAGAGGGGTCCAGGGAGGCGCTGCACCGACGTTGGGGAGAATGTATGTCCTGGCAATCAAAGATCTTTTCCTCCGTGAGCCTAACAAATGCTCTGGAATGTGTTCCAGCCTTCAGGAGGAGAACTCCGTTACACGTCACGAAGTCAAATGCCAGGGGAAACCATTAGCTGGAATCCACAGGAAAAGAATGCAACACGGAGCACGAAGCCCAAGCACAGAAGATCAAAGACGCCAGGAGAGGACCCCTCGCACCTTTTCCAAACCAAAAATGTGAAGCAGCAGAACTTCCAAAACCTCCGGCCTCGTCTTGTGATTCCACCAATGCAGCCATCGCCAAGCAAGCCTTGAAATAGCCCATCAAGGGCAAACAGGCCCCCGAAAAAAAGCTCAAGGAAAAGTCGCAAACTCACGGATTTCTACCCTGTCCCAAGGAGCTCCAGGAAGGGCAAAGCGGAGCTGCAATTTGAAGAAAGGGAAAGAATAGATGAATTGGTTGAAAGCGGAAAGGAAAGAAGGAGTGAAGACTGACCTCATCAATGACAAAGGCCGGGTGTGAACACCAGAGGGAGCTCTCCCGGGGCGCCTTTGTGGTAGAAAAGCACCGGAGCCTCACGGAGATCACCGACGCCACGGGACCCCTCCATGGTGGATCTCCGTGGATCTCCACAGTAAGCCGAGATCGCGCCACCGCACTCCATCCTGGGAGGCAGAGGGAGACTCCAGCTCAAAATAAGTAGATGACTGAATGAATGAATGAACGAATGAATGAATGAATGGATGTTACAGGTTTCCAAGGTGGACTTAAACAGATGGCTTTATATTACCAAAACTTTTACATTCTAGTTGTTTTTGTGCCTTTTTTTTTTTTTTTAATACAGGTTGAACGTTTTGTGCTTCCCATGCATGCAGTCAAAAACTCAGCACACAGGCCAGGCGCGGTGGCTCACACCTGTAATCCCAGCACTTTGGGAGGCCGAAGCGGGTGGATCACTTGAGGTCAGGAGATTGAGACCAGCCTGGCAAACATGGTGAAACCCCGTCTCTACTAAAAATACAAAAATTAGCCGGGCGTGGTGGTGCATGCCTGTAATCCCAGCCACTGGGGAGGCTGAGGCAGGAGAATCGCTTGAACCCAGGAGGTGGAGGTTGCGGTGAGCCGAGATCCCGCCATTGCACTCCAGCCTGGGTGACAGAGTGAGACCATGTCTCAAAAACAAACAAAAAAAGCAAAAAAAAAAAAAAAAAAAAAACCTCAGCACAGGATTAGAGCCAAACGTGAACTAGGAAGCCGCGCGAGTCTCCTCTCTCCGGTGGAAGAGCTGGGACGTGTCCCCCACACCGCGACGAGGTATGAGGAAGACGCTGTCTCCCAAAGGCCTGGACGGGATGGCTCCAAGCTCTTGTTCTCCTAACATCTGGACAGGCGCTCTTTGAAGTGTATGAATATATTTTTAAAAGATTGGGCAGTAAGCTTGTCTTCCCCGTGCTTTCTCGAAAGCTTACTGAGCTCGTGGCCCTGAGCGCGGGCCGGCATAGATTTCCTCTTCCACCCGCTGCGGCTTTTCTGAGCACCTGGAAGCATCGGGGTGTGAAGTCAAACCAGACGTGGGTGAGGAGAGTGTGGCTTGCCTTCCCTGCCGGGCAGAATTTCCTGAAACTGGGCTAATTCTTTGTAGAAATGTGAACGCTGAATTTATTAAAAAATAATAATAAAACACAGGAAACAACTTACATGTACATAGGTCTTGAAGTGAGTGAAGCGGCTGTATTTTTTTGGGGGGGGCATTGCTTTTGTTTTTGTAGAAGAGATTGAGATGATACTCTATTCTAATCAAAATTAGAGATTTGTAGTGGGACCAGAAATTACGTACTTAATACCCCTGCCAGTTTTCCCCGCGTCCTGCTGGGTTGAAAGTTCCAGAGCTGCCGTCTAGGCCTCGTGTTTGTCAGACACCCACGGCTCCTGCGAGGTCGCAGCCATGAGCTGGCGGGGGTGAGTACACAAGCCCAGATCCCCCAACCCGAACTGCGGCTGCCAGCCTCAGAGAAAGGCGCCCAGGTGTGCGGGCAGGGCCGAGACCCCCGGGAATCTAAGATAGGCCAAGGTTTTCACCTAGACTGTCAAGGCTGGAGGAGTAGGTGGCGGCCTCGACCCTCCCTACACGGGACCCATTCTTTTCTTTTCTTTTCTTTTTTTTTTTTTTTTTTTTTTGAGGCAGAGTCTCACTCTGTCGCCCAGGCTGGAGTACAGTGGCACAATCTCGGCTCGCTGCAATCTCCACCTCCCGCGTTAAAGCGATTCTTCTGCCTCAGCCTCCTGAGTAGCTGGGACTACAGGCACATGCCACCGCGCCTGGCTAATTTTTTGTATTTTTAGTAGAGACGGGGTTTCACCATGTTGGCCAGGCTGGTCTCAAACTCCTGATCTCGTCATCCGCCCGCCTCGGCCTTCCAAAGTGCTGGGATTACAGGCGTGAACCACCGCACCCAGCTATGCAGGACCCATTCTTACTGAGTGAGACTCGGGAGTCATGACCTGGTGTCTCCTGCCCACCCTGGTCCCAGGTAAATCTGAATGGAAGCAGGTATGAGAGCCTGTCCTCGCCTTTGATTCCCCCACCCCACCCTGGGCCTCACAACGGTGCTACCTAAGAAAGTCTCTTCCCCCAGTCAGCCTGGTGAGTGGTCAGCCGAAGAGGATCTGACGGGAGTGTAGATGTGAGATAGTATCTTTGTTGTACCTGTTTGTGGTTTAGCTTTGTATTTAAACAAATGAGGAAATAAACTTGAAAATTATTTGTCATCATAAAGTTGAAACAAAAATTATTTTAAAAAATAAAGTTTTATTTTAAAATAAAATAGCTAATGAGTATCGTACATTACAATTACATTTCCTTTCTAAACTTTTTTGTTTTCCTTTCAGTTATCTGTCTGCTTTTTTTTCTATATACTTATCGCTAATTCAACCACAGACTCTTCTCTTTTGTGTAAATCTTTTGGTATGTTCAAAGATATTTGGAATTTCCACCTTCCTGGAGGAATTTCTCCCATAGCCATGTGCCCTACTCTAATTTAGATTGTGCACTCTGGATCTGATGCCTAGATAATCTTCACCAACCTCGGAATCCTCGAATTGTACTCTACATGGTTTTTCTTCTCTTCTAATGCATCCCATTTCCTGGACCGCATGTATTGCTCTCCTAGTTTATTATTCCTCATTCTGATGACGTATGCCTTTCTTTCATTGGCTTCCTAAGAACTTCATGTGAGTAAAACATTTTTGAGTATGTGGCTTCATTTTATACCTACACTTAATTGACCATTTAGTTTGGTGTAGAATTCTATGTTGGAAAGTTTCTTTCATGAAATATTAAAAAGCTTTTTAAAGTAAACTAAATACTTAAATTATTTGTGTAATTGAGAATTGTACCAATTTGTAGATAACTTGTTTTTTTCCTTACTCAATGTGTTTAATTTTTTGAATACTTAATACAGTCACATGTTTAGCAGAATGTTCATAGTAGGAAAAAAAATGTACTGAAGTCTTCATCTCATTCATGACCCCATCTGCCAAGTTCCTACCCCTGTAACCACTGTCTTTAACTTTTTTTTTTAAGAGATGGGGTCTCGCTATGTTGCCCAGACTATACTCAAACTACTGGGTTCAAGCAATCCTCCTGCCTCAGCCTCCTGAGTAGCTGGGATATAGGCATGCACACATGCCCAGTGCTCACTTTTTAAGTGTCCTTCCAGGGTTTCTTCATGTATATATAGAAGATTACTTGACACTATTCTTTTTCTTTTTCTTTTTTTTTTTTTTTTTTTTTTTTTTTTGTGACAGAGCCTCGCTCTGTCACCCAGGCTGGAGTCCAGTGGCACGATCTCGGCTCCCTGCAAGCTCTGCCTCCCGGGTTCACGCCATTCTCCTGCCTCAGCCTCCCGAGTAGCTGGGACTACAGGCGCCCATCACCACGCCCGGCTAATTTTTGGTATTTTTAGTAGAGACGGGTTTCACCATGTTAGCCAGGATGGTCTCAATCTCCTGACCTCATGATTCGCCCGCCTCGGCCTCCCAAAGTGCTGGGATTACAGGTGTGAGCCACCGCGCCTGGCCATTTCTCCCCTTTTCAAATGCAAATCATGTGTATTTCTTGCTCTATTCTGTGTCTTGCTTTTCCCCTTAACAATGTGTCTTGGAGACATGTCCATATCATTACATGGAGAGTTCCTCATTTTTAAAAGAGAGCTGCATAGTATTGCACTGGATAGATGTGCCATAATCTACTTAATGGTTCTCTATTGGCGGACATTTAAGTTTAAAGTAAGTTGTTTAAGTTATAATGTAGTTTCCAGTCTTTTGTTATTTTAAACAATGCCTCCATGAATACTCTTATAAACACCTACTTTTGCACACATGCAAGTAAATTTATAGGATAAATCCTTAGGAGAGGAGTTTTTGGCTCACAGGACATATATGTATGTTTGTAATTTTGATAAATATTACCAGGTTGCCATTTGTAGGAGTTGCTCCAGTTATATTCTTCAGCCCCACCAGATAAATAGGTTAAGATACCTATTTATTCCACAGCCTCACTAGAGATACTGTGTGGACAAATTTTGGGGTTTTGCCTATCCTTTATGAGGTAAACAGTGTAGTTTAAATTTCTATTTTTTCTTTTATACTTCTTAATTAATTTTTTGAGACAGTCATTCTCTGTTGCCCAGGCTGGAGTGCAGTGGTGCAATCACAGCTCACTGCAGCCTCAACCTCCTGGGCTCAAGCAGTCCTCCCGCCTCAACCTCCCAAGTAGCTGGGACTACAGGCATAGGCCACCATGCCCAGCTAAGTTTTGTGTTTTTAGTAGAGACAGGATATTGCCATGTTTCCCAGGCTGGTCTTGAACTCCTGGACTCAAACGATCCTTCTGCCTCAGCCTCCCAAAGTGCTGGGATTACAAGCGTGAGCCGTCGTGCCAGGCCTGTTTTTTTAAGAGTGATGCTGATCCTTCTTTCATATGTTTAAGAGCCCATTTATCCTCTTTTGTGAATTATCTCTTCAAATCCTTTGTTCATTTTACTATTTCAATATTGGGATTTTGATCTTTTTCTTGTTTGATTTCCAGGAGCTCTTTATAAATTAGGTTAATATTTTACCATTTTTTTTCTTCTAGTTTGATCAGTCCCTTAGAATTGAAGGCATCTCTGGCTTCCAGTGTTTCCAAAAAGCCTGACCCCCATTCCCATGTCACCACCTCTCAGGTAAAGAGCAGGAACTTTGCTCCAATAGGCCCCTTCCATGTGACCTCTGCAATCACAGTCCCTCGCTTCCCCCAAAATAACTTCACTTTTACAGTCATCAGCACTTCTTTGCATTTAGAAGTTTTACCACCCAAATGCATATCTTTAGAGACTCCAATTTAGTCTTACCTTTAAAAAAAAAAGTTATCTGGGATGTGTTTTTTTACTCTCTAAATTACTTCTCCATTTTTCCCCTTTGTTTTTCTCTTGAAGAACTGGACTCCTTGACCAATAGGGTTTTCCACAGTGTGAGTCTTGCTAATTGCATGCTCATGATTCAGCTCAGTATATCCCTCAATCCTCTATTTCTTGCAAACTGGCAGCTGGATTCAGAGATTTAATGAAACTCAGGTTTGCCATATAGGAGGCACAAAATGTCTGGTTGTCTCTCCTGTTGAGATGATGGTAGGTACAGGTGCTAAAATGTCTACGTGGGTGGTGGGTTGGGGAGAAGTTGTTGCAAGATGGTGGAATTCTAAGTCTAAATTTTACGTTTCATTTATAAGTTGAAACACTCTTTATTTTTATTTATTTATTTTTTGAAACGGAGTCTTGCTCTGTCACCCAGCTGGAGTGCAGTGGTGTGATCTCGGCTCACTGCAACCTCTGCCTCCCAGGTTCAAGCTATTCTCCTGCCTCAGCCTCCTGAGTAGCTGGTATTACAGGCGTGCACCACCATGCCCCACTAATTATTTTTCTTTTTTGTATTTTTAGTAGAGATTGGGTTTTTCCATGTTGGCCAGGCTGGTCTCAAACTCCTGACCTCAAGTGATCCACCCACTTTGGCCTCCCAGAGTGCTGGGATTACAGGTGTGAGCCACTGCACTTGGCTCATTATTGCCTTTTCTTGAGTTCTTCCCCTCCAGTTTGCTCTCTTTCTGTGACTCCTGTTATTCAGAGTTTGCACCTGTTGGATTGGTCCTCCATGTTTCTTAACTATTTCTCTTTTTATTTCACTTTTTCTAGGAAATTTCCCAAACATTATTTTCCAACTCTCTGTTTACCTTACTACTTCTGCCATCATATTTTATTTTCCAAGAGGTCTTTTTTGTTTTCTGTTGTTATTATAAATAGCCTCCTCTTCTTGTATGGATGCAATATTTTCTCCCTGAAAACAATGAGTTTTTAAATAGCTTTCTTCTATCTAGCATTGTGTCTATTTCCTCCAAGTTGTCTTTTTTCTGCTTGTGGATTTGTTTAACTTTCAATACTAGAGATTTTCTTTGAATGTCTGAGGATCTTTGGATGTCCAGTCATATTTATAAGTAGGGCAGTATCTAGGCTGTTTCTTCAGGGAAGATTCAATGTAGTATCTTTAGATATTTCTTCCTGGGCTGATGCCTAGAGAGAACTGTTTGAGTCTTTATATCTTGTAATAATAGTATTCCTGAAATCCAACTGTAAAAAGGCTGGAGAGGTCTCAACTTCCGCTATATGTATTTTTATGCAGTCTCCCTGTTATCAGTATGATGCTCCTCTAATCCTCAACTCTGCCTACCGTCCAAAGATTGTTTTATCTTCCCCAGAGGGGAAAACCTCATTCTTACTCCGCAGTTGGAGAGGGAGTCATTTGCTGCACTGAGTCAGG